>NC_000024.10:7544864-7845274 GCF_000001405.40 Homo sapiens
TCCTTAATCCATTTTGTTTTAATTGTTGTATATGGTGAGAGACAGAGGTCTAGTTTTATTCTTCCATATGTGAATATGCAGTTTTCCCAGTACTATTTATTGAAGAGACTGTCTTTTCCTCAAGGTATGTTTGTGGCACCTTTGTGAAAAATGAGTTCGCTTTAGATCTGTGGATTTATTTCTGGGTGCTCTAGTCTGTTCCCTTAGTCTATGTGTCTGGTTTTATACCAGTACTATGCTATTTTGGTCACTATAGCTCTGTAGGAAACTTTGAAGTACTCCATAAATACATTTAAAAAAATCAAACTGAGAACTCTTATCACTTATGATATCATTGGGTAAAGGTAAAATGCATTCATTCATGAAGTGAAGACACTGAGCACCTGGTGTATACCAGTCAATGTGCTAGGTGTGGGCTGAGTATAGTGAGAATGGAAATGTGTGAAGAAGGAAAGAAAGAGACCATGAATTCTTTGACATTGTTGGAGACCACAATGATCTTATCTGCTTGGAAATACGAGATAGCTTTAAGGTACAATATTGAGTCATTCTTTTGGACAGAATTCTGCAAAGGTGGTAGGCCAGATATCCTTCTTGGTTCTGCCCTCTTCATTCATGGAGACTTTTTAAATTATGATTTTTGAGTATGGGTAACTCCAGCTGTTACCAAGACTATCAGGAAAAGGGAAAGAATAGGGAATCTGGTGAAGACAATGAGAAAGATATAAGATTGGAAGCTATGAATTCATGCCTGCACAGACATGAAGGCAGAAAATGGGGTTAAAGATGAATAGAAGCAACGATCCAAGTGTGAGAAAAGTCAAGTTAAATGAGATGACTTTGATGCCACAATGTTGGCCAAGCCACAAGTGGAGACTATTTCCCTGAGATCACAGAAGGATATCTTGTTATTGATGTGTGTCCTCTACACTGGGGACTTCTTAGGATAACAATGGATTCTTCCTCTTTTTGGCTCAGAGAAATTCCACTAATCCCTTTCTTGTGGATTTTCATGATTTTACAGAAATATCTCAGGCTGTAGCCAAGGGCACTGCAACTCTTTGGATGCAATTAGATTTGGGTCAATTAGGAAATAAAATGTTGGCCGGGCGCGGTGGCTCACGCCTGTAATCCCAGCACTTTGGGAGGCCGAGGCGGGCGGATCACGAGGTCAGGAGATCGAGACCACGGTGAAACCCCGTCTCTACTAAAAATACAAAAAATTAGCCGGGCGCAGTGGCGGGCGCCTATAGTCCCAGCTACTCGGGAGGCTGAGGCAGGAGAATGGCGTGAACCCGGGAGGCGGAGCTTGCAGTGAGCGGAGATCGCGCCACAGCACTCTCGCCTGGGCGACAGAACGAGACTCCGTCTCAAAAAAAAAAAAAAAAAAAAAAAAAAAGGAAATAAAATGCTGTAATTACCTCATATTCTGAGGGTATTCAAGTTGCCCAAAGTGACACAGTAGAGATAAACTTGGAAGTCTATCCAGAGGGAATATCTGGCTGAGATATTTTCTCAGGGAAGCCAAGAGAGCCCTACCCAAGGGGAGTCTAAGCTCCCCATCCCAACCTCAAGAGCTCTACATGGACTCAATCAAGTTAAGCATTCTCAAATGTCAGATGAGGCACTTCCAAGCAAAGTTTCCAGTGGAGGAAGAAAGTGCACATGGAAGGAAACCTTTCTATTAGGAGAAAGGTCAGATGCTGATTCCTAAAAGCCTCAAATCACATTCACTACTCTTGTCTTTCTGACCCCTCTACTTCAACCTAACTATGAGTGAGGTAAGAAGGATTTCCTGAATTGCAAGCATACCTAGCAATTTCCCAGAGAGCAAAAAGCATAATTTCTAATCTCCTCAATCAGAGGAGTGTAAAGCAATTTTATTTGGTTGTCATTCCTGTGGCTGGGGTCCCAAAAAATTCTGAAGGTGTGGTTCCTTCCCACCATTGTTAGGGAGAAGATATTTGGTGGACGTATACTAGAACTCACAACAATTCAGGCATTGTTTCTTTGCAATGCTGAGCTATATATTCCAATATATACATTTTTCCCAAATGCATTCTTTTAAATGTAGTTGTTTGTCTGATACATGGAAGTCTGCTTAAGCTAAATAACAGACTCATCTCTTCCTTGACAGAAAGCTCTTATTTCCTGCACACACTGGGAAGGTCATTGCTTCCCTCACTCTTGCTCCTGAATGACATATTTCACCCCATGCAGTAACATCAATGGTAGGACATTTATGGAGGTACCTGCTTATTAATGTGTTGTGTTATCATCAACTGGATTCATACAAATGGCCAGATGGCAAAGAGAACGTAAGCCTGCATGACTATTCAAACAGAGCCCAAGACACACCTCTGTGTACCTGGCTATTTAGGATCTGACCTAAACAAAGCAAGGATATGAACTTAAGTTTCCACAATGCTTTCCTTACACCTGGGAATATCCAGGATTGACCTCGAATCCTTTGAAATCATTCATAATGCACCCCTCAGAGTGCTGAACCCAGATGAAATCTGTGCATGGGGAAGCTCTGATTGAGTACACACTGAAGCACATTTCCATAGTAGGAATAGTTAGAGAGAGAGATGATGGATAGATAAATAGATAGATGATAGATGAATAGATAGGCGGGTAATAGATTTTATATAGATAGATGATAGCTAGATAATGGATAGACATAGGTGACAGATGATAAATACATAGATAAATAGATGATAGATAGATAGATAGATAGATAGATAGATAGATAGATAGACAGATGTCCACCATGAGGTTCCGGCTCTCACTGGTTCCCCAGAACCCTCTGTTTATGACTCTGTCTTCCAGCACAGTTAATCTGTCAAATGTTAATTCCAGGAGCATTTTATCAGAAAGTTCCCCACCCTGTCAACAAAGCACAAGCCTTTCCCCTAAGAAGTCACACTGCTGCCAGTAGCAGGGCTGACTGGGCTCATGCAGGTGTACACACTCAGGGAGCATTACTCACCCCAGAGACAATGCAGAAGAAACCAGTGAGGACAAATTTGTTCCCATGTCCCTTTCATCATCTTGGCAAAAAGAAATGCTGAAGAATATAAAATGCTGCTTACACATGTACCTGTGTGCTTCCTCTGGGTCCCGGGGATGGCAAGTGGGAGCTGTACCTTAATGACCACAGTCCTTTGACTGATCCTTTGACTGATCTCTTCAGCTGGCCAATGTCCATTTGCTTCCTTTGGAGGCCTATCATGCATCTATATTGCAGATTGTACGATCCACTGGACCCAGCAACAGATAAGTGAAGGGTTAGACACCCAGAGATAGTCTCTTAGCTCAGGATGCCCAACAAAATGTGATAGCCTGGGGAGCTTAGACCACAGACGTTTATTGCTCACAGTTCTGAAGGTTGGAGGTCCAAGATCAAAGCATGGTAGATTCAGCGTCTGGTGAGGACTTGGTTCTTGGTTCGTAGTCAGTGCCTCCTTGCTGGGTCCTCACATGGTGAACAGCATGGGATGGCCAGAGAGAGGGAGGGAAGGAGGGAGGAGGGGAGAGAGAGAGAGAGAAAGAGCTTCCCTGAGTATCTTCTTATAAGGACACTAATCCTATCACATCAGGTCTCCATCCTTATGACGTTGGTATTAGCCTGTTCTCATGCTGCTAATAAAGACATACCCAAGACTGAGTAATTTATAAAGAAAAAGAGGTTTAATGGATTCACAGTTCCACATGGCTGGGAAGGCCTCACAATCATGGCAAAAGCTAAGGAGGAGCAAAGTCACATCTTACATGGTGGCAGCCAAGAGAGCATGCACAGGAGAATGCCTCTTTACAAAACCATCAGATCTTGTGAGGCTTATTCACTACCACAAGAACAGTATGGGAAAGACCCGCCTTCGTGATTCAATTACCTCTCACTGGGTTCCTCCCATGACACGTGGGGATTATGGGAGCTACAATTCAAGATGAGATTTAGGTGGGGACACAGTCAAACCATAATATCATTGAATCTTAATTATATCCTGTTAAATTAAGTTTAGCCTAAAGCTGCCTCCTCACATATTTTAAGTTAATCTCTGCACACAGTGCACTGTGACCTAACTGGATGTGCAAACGTGCAAACAGACTGGAATCTACTCCTGTGCCAACCACCAAGATTTGACCAATCAAAAGTGGCCAGTGGTACAAACTGTGTTAAAATAAGGTAAATGCCAAGCTGTAACCAATCCAGCTGTTTCTGTACCTCACTTTCATTTTTCTGTCCATAAATCTTTGACCATGCAGCAGCACCGGAGATTGAACCTATTCTGGTTTTCGGGGGGGCTGCCTGATTTGGGAATCATTCTTTGCTCAATCATCCTCTGTTACATTTAATTTGTCTAAGGTTTTTCTTTTAACAGACATTATTCCAAATACACCCACACTGGCAGTTAGAGCTTTGTCATATGGATGTGGGGGGAAGGGACAGAAACATTGAGACCTGAACAGATGAAAATATCCAAGATCCAGTATTCTGTGTGTTAAATGTAGGGTCCCCCTTCCATTAATTAGTCTAATAAATGGTTTGGTGAAATATTTCTCAAATGTAAAAAAAAAAAAAAGAAAAAACAAAAGAATCACCTGTATCAGGTGGTCCTTCTCAAGTTTTATGTTTTCAATTTTTCTTTTTTCTTTTTTTTTTTTTTCTTTTGCACATGGATGAAATGCAGAATGCAGTCCTATAAATAAGCTTACTCTTTTGCCAGCACTGGGCTCTTTTCCAGGTGGGCATATGGGCTAGTTGAGTATTTTTCACCTAGTCAGAGCTCAACAAAAATTAAAATAGAAAAAGTGCTGAACTGATTTAGTTATAACACAAATGGTTACAGTGTTGCATGTTTATGGTACTGAGATAAAAGCTGAATCTGCGGCCGGGCACAGTGGCTCATGCCTGTAATCCCAGCACTTTGGGAGGCTCAGACAGGCGGATCACGAGGTCAGGAGATCAAGACCATCCTGGCTAACACAGTGAAACCCTATCTCTACTAAAAATACAAAAAATTAGCCAGGCTTGTTGGTGGGCGCCTGCAGTCCCAGCTACTTGGGAGGCTGAGGCAGGAGAATGGTGTGAACCCGGGAGGTGGAGCTTGCAGTGAGCCGAGATTGTGCCACTGCACTCCAGCCTGGGTGACAGACTCCGTCTCAAAAAAAAAAAAAAAAAAAAAAGCTGAATTTGCAAATGCTATTGGATACAGCCCTTGGCAGTCATTTTAGTCACTGTTAACATTAGTTGTCCTTCCTGGACCACCCTGATGGGGTTAGGTGTCAAAGGTTACTGAACTCACTTTCAGGCATGCAAACTGCAAAATGTGCACACTTAGTATCTGTTCGATAATCTGAAGAGCTGCAAATCTCCCACTAAGCTGGAAGAATGGGGTGGAGTAAATTCAGTGCAAAGCAGAGACCTGCTTGGTGTGTCCATAGGTTCATGGTTCCTTCTAGGGAAATGCATGGCCTATTCTTCATGTCTTGCCCTCAGCCATCATCACCAAGAGCTTCTTCGAGCTGAGGTCTGGAAGTGAAATGTGGGGAGCAAAATACATCCTAACCATGGAGAGAAGGCCTTGAGTTCAGGGAGGCTCAACAGAAGAATAGCTGGGCTGCTGCTTGAGCCTGCTCTAGCTTCATCCACCTGCATGCTGCTGGCACTGGGGCTGTAGCCTGCAGCCTGTGTACCTGGGGTTTTAACCTGATCATGGCTCCTTTGCCAAACATATGGGCCCCTTGAGTCTCAGCCAAGGGGTCCCAAAGTGCCTCGGCCTCCCAAAGTGCTGGGATTACAGGCATGAGCCACCGTACCTGGCTAGTTCATAAAGATTTATTGCCTAGATTTTCCTCCAAGAATTTTGTAATTTCACCACTAACATTTAGGTCTTTCTTCCATTTTGAGCTTATTTTTGTGTATAGTGTGAAGTAAAGGCCTGTATTAGTTTCTTAGACCTTGTGTAACACATAAGGAAAGGTTTCCTTCCATGTGCACTTTCTTCCTCCACTGGAAACTTTGCTTGGAAGTGCCTCATCTGACATTTGAGAATGTCAGATGAGTCTCAGCCATGTCCCCAATCTGGCCCTGACCTGGGTGACTCACCTTGAGACTGTATGTCTATGTGTCTGTATGCATGTGTTCTGTATGAATTTGTGTACACACATGTGTTTCTGTGTGTTCATGTTTGTATGTGTAGATGCACAAATGCATGCATTTCTGCAGGAGTGTATTATGTATGTGTGTTTGTATATGCACATGTGTTTCTGTGTATGTGTGCATGGGTTTCTGTATTATGAATTCATGTATTTGTGGGCATGTATGTACATTCATGCAGGTAAATGTATGCATGAGTTTCTGTATGAGTTTATATATGCATGTGTTTGTGTGTATATATGTGCATGCATGCAGTTTCTGCATGAGAACATGCATGTATGCATGTGTTTATATGTATATGTGCATGCATGCAGTTGTATGTATGCATGGGTTTCTGTATAAGTGTGTGCATGTGTGCATATACATGTGCATGCATGCAGGTGTATGTGTGCATGGATTTCTGCTTGAGTTTATGTATGCATGGGTTTGTGTGTATATATGTGCATGCATACAAATTTATGTATGCATTAATTTCTGCATAAGTTTATCTGTGCATGTGTTTGTGTGTATATATGTGCATGCATACAGTTGTATGTATGCATGTGTTTCTGTATAAATGTATGCATGTGTCTGTGTCTGCTTGTATATGTACCTGTGTCTCTGTGTGTCCTCCAAAGCAATCCTCTCTTTCCCCTCATCTCCATTTTCTTCTGCATTCTTTCTCACTCTGTAAACTGCAGTTCCCAAGAATGCGGAGATCCAGCTCATTAGGACATCCATTCTTTATAGAGTAAATTGTGCATCCAAATGGCATGTTGTTTGTATGTTGGTAACAGAGAGTTTTGAATGGGTGAAATAAGACATAGAGGTTAATGTTAAAATCAGTCTTGAATTACAACACATCTTCAAACAGGCTTTCAACAGAAAAAAAGTTCACCAAGCTAAAATTCTGACTGATAAGTTTCAGGTTGCTTACATACCTAAAGATCAAGTTCCAAAATGCATTCAGCAAACACATCCACATTTGTGTTTTGCATCTATCAGTGGGACATGATGGATAATGGCAAAGGGTTTCTTTTGAGAACATGAACATTTTATTGGATATTTTCACTGATACCCCAGTGAAAGTAGCTCAAAAGCATATACTGTGTCTCAAATACACACATAAACACATACAGATTCTTGAAGCCTCTGAGAAAGTTCTATGCTTACAAATTTTACATATGGTTAAAGTCCAAGCCTGGAGGGAATGGATGGTTCTCTCCCGAAGAATAGTATAGCTTTTATTATAAATACACTCTCTGCCCAGAGATAGTTTTCAAGGTAACACAATTTGGCTCCCTAAGGATTAGAACAGGAAAAATGTTGATATGGTTTGGCTGTGTCCCCACCCAAATCTCACCTTGAATCATAGCTCCCACAATTTTCACATGTTGTGGAAGGGACCCAGTGGAAGGTAATTGAATCATGGGAGTGGGTCTTTCTTGTGCTGTTCCTTGATAGTGAATAAGTCACATGAGATCTGATGGTTTTATAAGATGGAGTTCTCTGAACAAGCTCTCTTGCCTGCCACCATGTAAGATGTGCCTTCGTGTCCTTCACCTTCTGCCATAATTGTGAGGTCTTCCCAGCCAAGTGGAACTGAGTCCATTAAGACTCTTTTTTTTTTTTGTAACTTACCCCGTCTCAGGTACATCTTTGTTAGCAGCATGAGAACAGACAAATACAAATGTCATTGTGACAACTATTGTGCATGAAGCACCTATCTGATTAGGGCAACTGAGGGATACATGCATGAGAAGCCCTTGCCACAACCAGGAAATCATCCATAAAAGTATAGCAGAGAAATAAGTCCTTCCCTGGGCCAATAGAAGCAGCCAGTGCAGGTATTAGGCATAAGAACTGCTGACATGCTGCTCGATTTATAATCCTGGAAGATGTCTGTGCTGTGCTCTGGGACTCTGGGCACACACCTGTACCTCAATCCTTCCATGGGCTGATGTCAGCAGTCTGGAACCTGCAGGCAAAAGCTGAAAGCCATGGGGATAAGAAACTGCCCTGTATGTGGGCACTTGGTAGGGTATCTTAGATCCTTTATTGGCTTTATCTGTCACCTTTCTCCCCCTGAAAAGCTATCTGATGGGGTGTTTGTAGCATCACTGCAAAATCTCCATGTGTCACCATCTGGAGAAGAAAAAATAAAGGACATTCTTGAAAAATGTAATCTTTGCAGGCACATACTTTCTGAATATGACCTCTTGCATCTACAAAGAGACTCTCATCAGGAGGCCAGATTTACAAACTTTTCTTTGGGAAAAAATTGGAAAAGATAACAAAAACACAGGAAATTTTCTCAAAGTGACCCTTGGAAAATCTGGTTGTTGATGGTTAATGTATTGGGGCTATTCTTAGGATATTACTGGTGAAGCCACTTCTTGGACATGAAGGGCTAGCCAGCAACACCTTTGGAGATGGTCGGCTGGAGAAAGCCACTGGCTTCACTTGTGTGCTTTTGCCAAACTGGTTTTTGCCAAATTGGCTTGTCTGTCACCCTCCTGGTAAATACAGTCTTCTTAGCAGGGGCCCACATTCTGCATGGGTACAGATAGGGTGAAGGTGCCATTGGACTCAGTTGTCTGGATGGCTGACTGCATGCAGAAATTCCTGAGCAGAGAAAGGCCCAAAAAGATCTCATGTTTTCCACTCTGCATGTACATTAGATGGTCTAGAAAAAGTTTTAGAAGCTTAGGATAATTTCTTGGCCATGCCACCAGACACAGGTGACAAAAGCCAAAAAGAAAAACAGGTAAACTGGACTGCACAAAACAACAACAACAACAAAACTTTTGTTCATCAGAAGACACAAGCAAAAGGTTAAAAAAAAAACAAACCAAAACAAACAAAAAACAAAATACAGAATGAAAATATACATTATATTTGCCAATCATATATCTGATAAGGGATATATTTGTTAGCATTCTCCAGAAAAACTGAAACAACAGGACAGATAGCTATATATAGCTATAGCTATTAGATACAGATAACATTTATTATGGGAATTGGCTCAAATTATTATGGAGGCTAAGTCCCACCCACCATATTCTACAAGTTGAATAGCTAGATAAACTGGTCGATATGGTTTTTCTGTGTCCCCCACCAAATCTCATCTTGAACTGTAGCTGCCATATAATTCCCATGTGTTGTGGGAGGGACCTGGTAGGAGATAATTGAATCATGAGGGCAGTTTCCCCCAGACTGTTCTCATGGTAGTGAATAAGTCTCATGAGATCTGATGGTTTAGTAAGGGAACCCCTTTTGCTTGGCTCTCATTTTCACTTGACTGTTTCCATGGAAGATGTGCCTTTCACCTTCTGTCATGATTGTGAGGCCGCCGCAGGCACGTGAAACTTTGAGTCCGTTAAACCTCTTTTTTTTTAAAAAAAGAATAAATTACCTGGTGTTGGATATGTCTTTATCAGCAGCATGAAAACAGACTAATACACCTGTGGTGTAAGTCAATCCAAATCCTAAAGTCTAAGAACAAGGGGTGCCCTTGGTACAACTCCCAATCCTAAATGGTCCTTACCAAAAGTATTTAGTGAAACCACAACCCAACACTACCTCACCCTCAGCAATCACTCAAGGAATAAAATCAGGCTTTGCACGACTTTTCACATCCACGTCAGGAAAGAATATTTCTAAATGGTCTCAGCTTCCAATCATCACACAAATGTTTCATTAAAGAAAGATGAGGGGGCGGGGCCAAGATGGCCGACTAGAAGCTGCCGCGTTCAGAGGCTCCCATGGAGAAAACTATAAAAAGCATGCGAATCCTTCACCAACAACCAAGGCACCCAGGTTCTCTCATCAAAATTGACTAGAAGGCCTGTGTGACCCACGGAGAGAAGGAAGAATAGTGTGGTGCGGCGGCCCACCTGAGAGTCACACAGGGAAGGGGAACCCCCTCCCCTCAGCCAAGGGAGGTGGTGAGTGAGCCTGCTACCCAGCCGGGGAAACTGTGCTCTCTCCACAGAACTATACAACCCATGGATCGGAAGATCCCACTCATGAGCCCAAAACCCATGCCACCGGGACCTAGTGTCTCAACCCCGGAATGGCAGATTCTTACAGCCTCTCAGCTGGAATCTGCTTAAGCCTACCGAACTCCTGGGGGGAGGGGCGACCAGCACCAGCTGCAGCTGCCTGCTGTCTAGGCTGTCTGCTGTCTAAACCATTTGAGCTCTTTGGGGGAGAGGCAGCAGCCAGCTCTTTGGGGGAGGGGCAGCAGCCAGTTTTTGCAACTCGAAACTGCCTAGCATGCTAAGCTCCCTGGGCAGGGGAAGGTTGGCACACATTTCTATAGCTCCAGGCTGTGCTTTCCCCTGTTGGAGCCAGGGAGGCTGGATGGCTTGGTCCCAAGACTTGTCCCCACAGCCCAACACACTGGCTGTGGCAATCTGTGGCCAGAGTGCCTCTTCAGGCCTAACCCTGACCCATTCTTCCTCAATGGGTGAGGCTTTCCTTCAGGATCTCCAATAACTCCATCCAGAGGCTCAGGGACAGAATTTGGATCTCCCTGGGCCTGAGCAGCTAGTGGGAGGGGTGGCCACAGTCTATGTGGACCAGCAGACTTAGCCTCTCCTCCTGGTAGCTATGAGGAATCCGGAAGCCCAGATGAGTGAGATTCCCCCCAGTGAAGCACACTGCCTCCACTGAGGGACAAAGTGCTTCATTAAATGGGGCCTGCTCCCCATGCCACCCAACTGGATGAGACCCTCCAACAGGGGTTGTCAGACGGCCTATATAGGAGCGATCCTACTGGCATCAGGTTGGTGCCCTCCAAGGACAGAGGTCCCAGAAGAAGGAGCAGGCATGATCTTTGCTTTTTCCAGCCTCCTTGAGTGACATCTCCAGGCATGGGAGTGAATCAGATGAATAGAGCCTGAAGTGAACCCCCAGCAAACTGCAGCAGCCCTACAGAAGAGGGATCTGATTATTGAAAGCAAAACAAACACGCAGAAAGCAACAACAACAGCATCAACAACAAAAACAACAAAGCCCCTACAAAAACCCCATCTAAGGGTCAGTGGCCACAAAGAGCGAAGCTAGACAAACTCACAAGAAAGAATAACAAAAAAAATGCTGAAAACCCAAAAGGCCAGAGTGCCTCTTCTCCTTCAAATGATTACAACGTCTCTCCATCAAGGACACAGAACTGGACGGAGGATCAGATGGATGAATTAACAGAATTAGGCTTCAGAAGATGGGTAATAAAGAACTACACTGAGCTAAAAGAGCATTTTCTAACCCAATGCAAAGAAGCTAAGAAACTTGATAAAAGGTTTGATGAACTGCTAACTAGAATAATCAGTTTAGAGAGGAATATAAGTGACCTAATGGAGCTGAAAAATACAGCACAAGAACTTCATGACGCATACACAAGCATCAACAGCTGAATCAATCAAGCAGAAGAGAGGATATCTGAGGTTGAAGACCTCCTTGCTGAAAAAAGACATGCAGACAAGATGCGAGAAAAGAGAATGAAAATGAATAAACAAAGCCTCTAAGAAATATAAGACTTTGTAAAAAGACCAAACCTACGATTGAGTGGAGTACCAAAAGCAGATGGGGAGAATGGAAACAAGCTGGAAAACACACTTCAGGATATTAACCAGGAGAACTTCCTCAACCTAGAAAGACAGGCCAACATCCAAATTTAGGAAATACAGAAAACACCACTAAGATACTCCATGAGAACATCAACCCCAAGACACATAATCATCAGATTCCCTAAGGTTGAAATGAAAGAAAAACTTTAAGGACAGCCAGAGAGAAAGGCCAGGTCGCCTACAAAGGGAAGCCCATCAGACTAACAGTGGATGTCTCACCAGAAACTCTATAAGCCAGAAGAGATTAGGGGCCAATACTGAACATTCTTAAAGGAAAGGATTTTCAACCTAGAATTTCATATCCAGTGAAACTAAGCTTCAGAAGTGAAGAAGAAATAAAATCCTTTCCAGACAAGCAAATTCTGAAGGAATTTTTTGCTACCAGGCCTGCCCTGCAAGAGATCCTGAAAGAAGCACGATGTATGGAAAGGAAAAATAGGTACCAGCCACTGAAAAACCCACCAAAATATAAAGACCAATGATACTACGTAGAAACTGCATCAACGAGTGTGCATCAAGTAGAATGTCCTCCAGGTTCATCTATGTTGCAGAAAATGACAGAGTCTCCTTTTTCCCTTCTTTGTTTATTAACACATTTCCTGTTTAGAAAAAAAAAATGCATCTCACTGCCTGGGCAGTATTCTCAGGACAAAGTAGAATGCTTTAAAGCTGAATAATATTCCATTGTGTGCATAGAGCACAGTTTCTTCATTCCTCTGTCCATGGACACTTTGCTTGTTTCCATAGCTTGGCTACTGTGAAGTCCCCGGCGTTTCTGCTCCATCGGATCTGGAGTGGAGTTGGCATCTTTGTTGCTAAGATGGGCATAGGTGATGCTGAGGCTGTTTTTGCAGAGGCCACACTTGCAGATCCACAGGTTTGGATGCTGCCTTCTCTGCTGAGCAGGTACAGTGAGAATCTATGCTCATCTTGATCGCTGGTAAAATGGGTGGGTTGAATCATGAGAACAACAAGCCAGCCAAACTCCTCTGCCTCCTTAAACCCTTCTAAGAAGTCCTGAGTTATGGAATTTTGACCATGCTTTGCAGACCCGTGCATGCTCCTAGAGTGCTGGGCTCACGTGCAGGTACCTGCCTAAGACAGATGCATCCAGGCATAGAGCATCACTAAGAACTAAGTCCCTGGTGGGCAAGGCAGCCTTTGTCTTGTTGGACTGCATGTCCCAGCAACTCAAGCGTTAGAGGTTTAGAATTGCCTTGCCTGTGATTCCCCCTCTCACCTCTTGGGGCTCACTCGTCGGCAGAGTAATGCTGATCTGCAAGCATCCGCCTCCTCTTATGTTTCTTCCTATGGGTTCCAGGGGTGAGCAGGGCAAGTGCACATGGAATACAGCCACAAGTTTCATCACAGTAGCCCGGGGCAGAGTGAAAACCCAGCCACTGATGCATGCATATGCACACACACAGAGACACACTCCAACATGCCCAGGCACACACAGGTATCTATACACACACAGAAAGATGTGCATGGACTTACATATATAGACACACATATATACACACACACACGCAGAGAGACACAGTCATGCCCAGGCACACACACAGGTATCTATACACACACAGACATGCAAAGACTTACATGTGCAGAAACACATATACAAACACACAGAGACACACTCGGACATGCTCGGGCACACACACACACATATCTATATACATACAGACAGACGTGCACAGACTTACATATACAGACAAACATATATACACACACAGAGGCGTACACACACCAAAACACTCAGACATGCCTGTGCACACACACAGATATCTATGCACACACAGACAGATGTGCACACACTTCCATATACAAATACACATTTACAGACACACACATGCACAGACACATGGGCAGATAAACACGGCACTTTCAAACACAATCAGATACATACATAGGTATCCACACACACTGACACACACAGACTTACATATACAGATACACATATACAAATGGACACACACGTACACAGAGACACTCATGACATGCTCACACACACAGGTATCTATACACACACAGACAGATGTGCACAGATGTACATATACAGACACACATACAGACACACACAGAGACACACAGGCAAACAGACACTCTCAGACATGCTGGCACATACACAGGTATCTATAATACACACAGAAACACACATACATACACAGACACATATATACAAACAGACACACACATGCACAGAGACACACTTGGACATGCTCAGGCACACACATAGGTATCTATACACACAGACAGACATGCACAGACTTACTTATACAGACACACATACACACACATGCACATAGAGACACACAGGCAAACAGGCACTCTCAGCAACACCTGGGCACATACACAGGTATCTATAAACACACAGAAACACGTATACTTACATATACAGACACACATATACAAATAGACACTAACATGCACACAGAGACACACAGGCAGACAAACACACAGACACTCAGACACAGTTGGGTACACACATGGACATCTACATACACACACGGACAGACACACAGAGACATATATACACACATGCATATATACACAGACACGCATAACCACAGACATACTTAGAACACATATGCACATACTCATCCACACATACAGGCATACACACAGAGACACACGTAAAACACACAGTACACTATCACAGTGCATACATACCCACAGACATACATGAATACATACAGAAACACACACACATACATACATGTGCACACATAAATGCACAGGACACAGACACATATGCACACACAGAGACACACATGCAGATGCACACAAACACTCTCTCAGACGGGCACACACACAGGCATCTATATAGGCACAGGCACACAGCGACATATATATACGCATACCTATGTCACAAACAGACACACAGAGAACATATATGCACATACTCATACACACATACATGCATATGCACAGAGATATATAAAAAAGACACAGCACACCTGTCACAATGTACACCCATACACAGACACCCATGAATACATACAAGAATACACACACAGACGTGTATTCATGCAGACACACACATACACAAGACACAGATACACATACATGCTCACAGAGACATACAGGGGCATATACACAGACATATACACATGCATACACACACCAAACCACACAGATACACACAGAACAGACACCGAGGCACACAGACACCCACACCCAGCCACTCACCATCTTTGCTAAGGGGAACAGTACTTTCAGAGTCTTCAGACCTACTTACAGCCGCATCCCTCCTTACATGAACTGGATCCCACATGCCGCCGATACACCCAGCCCTGTGACCATCAGAGGCCCTGTCTCCCCTTTCTTGAGGGAGCCACCCCCTACCTGGCTCTCAAACTCATTCTCTACCTGGAAAACATAAAGCTCTTCTATGACCGTCCACACCATCGTCCAGCAAGCCTACTGGACACACAACCGCACTTTAGCGTCCAGCTCCTTCCGGAACCTCCCTAAAGGAATCTAAACAAGGACCACTCCAAGCCGCAGCGTGGAAAGCCGCCGTGGTGCTACCAGGCGCTACCGTGGTCCGTCTACCATGTGGCGTCCACAGTCCGTTGAGACTCCGGCAGGAAGCCTCGTCCCTGGCAGTAGACAGAGCCTTTTCCCCAAGCTTTCCTGGCTGCCGACATCCCGCTGCTTGGTGTCCACCGCCCTCTGCTTGGGAGGGAGATGAGAGCCCGGCCAGCGAGCTACCGCACATGGCTCCTGGGTCCCGCACGCTGGCCGGGAAAGGAAGCACCTTAATTAAACACACTCTGTGCTCATCTGAAATCAGCTTCACACATTCACAGGGAGAGGTCTTCACGAAGAAGAAATCGTGTTTATGCCTGTAGAAGAGCAGCCACCGCCACAACAGCGTATTCAAGTATTTCCTTTTTTCGAAAACAAAATAGTTATTTGCATGGAAAGAGAAAAGAGATCTCGGTTGTGGAAACCAAGGTCTGAGCAGAGGTGGATTTAGGAGGAATCCATGGAGGAGCTCTGGAGAGAAGAGAATTTCAGAGCTCAACTTGGTCCTGCAGTTGTTGTGTAGGCCACTGAGTCAAACATTCTAGGAGTACAGACAGATCTGTGCTGTCTAGAGATTGGATGGATTTTTATCAATTATGCAGAGCTGGGAACAGGATACACCTCATCCCCATTTCTGGGCCAGGAATCTCTCTATGAACCCACCTCCTCTGAAGTGACCACACCTGATCTCTCCCACCTGCTTTAAATAGAGCACACCTGATTGATCCCGCCTGTTTTATGTATTCCATATCTGTTTTCTCTTATGCCACCAGTTTTAGATCACGCATACCTGATTGACTCTACATAAACCACACCTGAGTAATCCCACCTGCTTTAAATACACCACACCTGATTGACCCTGCCTGCTTTATATAGACACATCTGATCAATCCCACTACTTTAAACAGACCACACCTGCTTTATTTCCCCTGCTTTAAATAGACCATGTCTGCTATATCTCACCTTCTTTAAATAGAGCATGCCTAATTGACCTTGCCTGCTTAATATAGACCACACCTTCTTTAAATCACCCATACCTGATTGACTACATGCTCTACATAAACCATGCCTGATCAATCCCGCCTGCTTTAAATAGACCATCCCTGATTGACCCTGCCTGCTTAATGTACACCATACCTGCGTTATCGCACCTCCTTTAAATACACAACACTTGATTGACCCTGCCTGCTTTATGTAGACACATCTGATCAATCCCATTGTATTAAACAGATCACACACTAACTGACCCTGCTTGATGTATACCACACCTGCTTTATTCCACCTGCTTAATGTACACCACACCTGCTTTATTCCACCTACTTTAAATCATCCATACCTGAATGACTCTACATGCTCTAAATAAACCATACTGATCAATCCCATCTGCTTCAGATAGACTATGACTGATTGACCCTGCCTGCTTTGAATAGCCCACATCTCAGTGATTCCACCAATATGCCACACCTGATTGATCCTGCCTGCTTTATGCAGACACATCTGATCAATCCCACTGCTTTAAATAGACCATACCTGTTCTATCTCACCTGCTTTAAATAGACCACACCTGCTTTATCTCACCTGCTTTAAATCATCGATACCTGATTGACTCTACATAAACCACACCTGAGTAATCCTACCTGCTTAAAATAGACCACACCTGATTGACCCTGCCTGCTTTGAGTAGGCCACATCGCAGTGATTCTGCCTGCTTTAAATACACCACACCTGAATGACCCTGCCTGCTTTATGTAGACACATCTGATCAATCCTACTGCTTTAAAAAGATCACACTGGCTTTATCCCACCTGCTTTAAATCATCCATACCTAACTGACTGTACATGCTCTAAATAAACCAAACCTGATCAATTCCACCTGCTTTAAATAGACCATACCTGATTGGTACACACCTGCTTTAAAGGCCACACCCAATTGACCCCCACAATTGGGTAAATCAACCACAACTGATGAAGCCTACCTGCTTTAAATTGGCCAAATCTGATTTATTCCACTTTCTTGGAACCACACCTGATTTTTTTCCCACCTCTTTTAAATAGACCACATCTATTTGACCCCAATGCTCTAAAAAAGCGACACCAGATTGATTGACCCTGAATACTGTAAATAGATCACATCTGATGTATCCCACCAGCTTTAAATAAACTACACCCACTATGGAAAACAATGTGGAGATTCCTTAAAGAACTAAAAGTAGATCTACCATTTGATCCAGCAATCCCACTCCTGGGTATCTACCCAGAGGAAAAGAAGTCACCATATGAAAAAGACTTGCCCACACATGTTTATAGCAGCACAATTTGCAATTGCAAAAATATGGAAACAGCCCATATGCCCATCAATCAACAGGTAAAAAGATATATCTATACCAGGGAATACTACTCAGCCTAAAAAGGAATGAAATGATGGCATTTGCAGCAACCTGGATGGAATTGGAGACCGTTATTCTAAGTAATGTAACTCAGGAATGGAAAGCCAAACATCAAATGTTCTCACTTATAAGTGGGAGCTAAGCTATGAGGATGCAAAGGCATAGGAATGATGTAAGGGATGTTGGTGACTCAGGGGAAAGGGTGGGAGCGGGGTGAGGGATAAAAGATGACACATTGGGTACAGCGTACACTGCTCGGGTGATGGGTGCACCAAAATCTCAGAAATCACCACTGAACAACTTATCCTTGTAAATTCACTACCACCTCTTCCCCCAATACCACCACCTGTTCCCTCAATACCTATTGAAATAAAATAAATAAATAAATAAACCACACCTGATTGAGCACCTCTGCTTTAAATCATCTTTCTGAACATACTTAGATATACTCAGCCCTGGTTCTGAAGAGAACAGCTCGAGGGCCCACACAATCTGAAAGGGAACTAGGCAACTCAGTCAGGGCTTGTTTTCTTTCTTCATTAAGGTCATGATGGGAGAACCACAACTGAGTCTGCAAGGCAGGTCTGAACACACCGTGCTCTCAAGATGGATCTAGAAACTCAATCCCACTCTTTTCCTCTCTTGTTAAATATAGTCCGTTCTGCATAAAGGAGACAGATGTGTTCTCCTGAATCAGTTTTTGCTATGCAAAAAGTGCTCAATTATAACATAGGGCTTATGGAAAAAACACAGCGTGGAGCAGCTCTCAAAGATGTTATCACTGATGCAAAGAATATACAATATTTATTTGTCAATTAAAAATGAATAAATAGGGCTGGGTGCAGTGGCATCCCAGCACTCTCAAGCGAGTAGATTATTTGAACCCAGGAGTTTGAGACTAGCCTGGGCAACATAGCAAAACCCCTTCTCTACAAAAAAATACATGAAATTAGCCAGGCATAGTGGTGCGCAACTGTAGTCTCAATTATAGCTCACTGCAGCTTTGCATCCTGGGTTCAAGCAATTCTCCTGCCTCAGCCTCCTGAGTAGCTGGGATTATAGGTGCCCACCACCACACCTGACTAATTTTTGTATTTTTAATAGAGATGGGGTTTCACAATGTTGGCCAGGCTGGTCTCGAACTCCTGACCTCAGATGATCTGCCTGCCTTGGCCTCCCAGAGTGTTGGGATTGGGATTACAGGCATGAGCCACTGTGCTCGGCCACATGACTTTTCTGATACCTTTTCTATTGCTTATATATTTCTTATTTTCATTCAAAAGTGCCCTCCTTTTGTCTGGAGCAGTTGACTGATGACTGAATAGTTGCAGAATGAAAACACACTTGAAGGCATTGTCAGGAAGTCCTATCAACGCTCTTTTCTTTGGCGATGACCAGTGTTTTCTCCCCCAGGAGACAAGCAGGGCCAAGAAGTCAGGGATATTTTGAGAACTTCAAGGAGGAAACTGAATGGAAGATAGGGAGAGAATTCTTCCTACCCAGAGGGCTTTACAGGAGGTGAGAATCATGGGACCATAGCCTGTTGCACAGGAGTGAAGAGTCCTCGTGGTGTTGAAGTTGGCCAAGTATATGTGTCCTGAAAGTTAAATATTGAGCCAAAAATGCATTAACAGCCCATCCCATTAGGGGTGTGTGTGTGTGTGTGTGTGTGTGTGTGTGTGTGTGTGCAGGGTTGGTGGAAATTTAAGCAGGATGCACAGGAAGTTGCTGTTTATAAGGGGGCTATATTCATCTCCTAGGGCTGCCATGACAAAGAGTCACAGACTGGGTGGCTTGAACAACAGAAATTTATTTCCCCACTGTCCTGGAGGCTGGAAGTCTAAGATGAAGGTATGGGAAGTGCTGGTTCCTTCTGAGACCTTTCTTCTTGGCTTGCAGACACTGTCTTCTCCTTGTGTGCTCACATGGTCCTCCCTCTATGCAGATCTGTGTCCAAATCTCCTCTTCTTGTAAGAGCTCTAGTCTTATTGGATTAGGGCCATTCATAATCACCTCATTTTACCTTAATTACCTTTTTAAATACCCTATCTCCAAATAAAGTCACATTCTAAGATACTGAGACTTAGGGCTTCAACATGGACATTTTACAGGCACATAGTTAACCCTGTAACAGAAGATGGAGATATTTTTCCTTCCAAAAATCTATCATCTGCATTGGAAAGTCAGGTTCCGACAGACACACTGAAATATGCACTTTTTATTTTTGTCTCCATCAAGAAAAAATGCAACCCTTGCTCTTGTAGTTATTACGGGAGACTGGAAAAATTATTTGACAAGTGCCAAATGAAACCAAAAGAAAGCTTGCATTTTTCTCTTTAGCACTTCCAACAAAGTCTTTGTTAGCCTCCGTTCATACCAGCAAAGTGAGGGGCAGAGAAAAAAGTTAGTGGGGAAAGCCAACTTATGCTCCATGCTCAGGGAAAGACTTCCTTACATTGTTAGGTTCCATTGACTGACTTTGGTGAGCTGCTCCTTTACATCAACTTTATGGGATGTAGGTCCATGCCTCACCTTCATTCACCTACCTACAAAGATGCCCCAGAGATAGAATGGACTGCAGCCTACAGGCTATCAAGACCAAGGCAGGGAACTTCCACCTGGAGCCAATTCACTGCACGTAAGTGTTTAAACAGATACACTGTAAGACATCTAGTATGAATGGTGCATATTTAAGACAAGGTGGAACAGCAAAAGAAATTATCAACAGAATAAGAAGACAACCTACAGAATGGGGAAAGTATTTGCAAAGTATGCAGTGGACAAAGGACAAATATCCAGAATCTATATGGAACTTAAAGAAGTCAACAAGAAAAAAACCCAAAACAACCCAGTAAAACATCAGCAAAGAACATAAACAGACAAGTTTTGAAAGAAGATATACATGAATACAACAATCATATTAAAAAAGCCTTGACATCACTGATCATTAGAGAAATGCAAATCAAAATCACAATGAGATAGCATCTCACAGCAGCAAGAATGGCCTTAAAAAGTGAAAAAACAACAGATGCTGCTGAGGCTGCAGAGGAAAGGGAACACTTATACAGTACTGGTGGGAATGTAAATTAGTTAAGCCCTGGTGGGAATCGGTTTGGAGATTTCTAAATATTTAAAAATAGAATTACCATTCTACCCAGCAATTTTATTACTGGGTATCTACTCAAAGGAAAATAAACCATTCTACCAGAAACACACATGCACTCTTATGTTCCTTGCAGAACTATTTACAATAGCAAAGACATGGAACCAACTTAAGTGCCCATCAATGGTGGACTGGATAAAGAAAACTTGGTGCATATACATGATGGAATACTGCACACTCATGATAAAGGTTGAAATCATGTCCTTTGCAGAAACATGGCTGCAGCTGGAGGCCATTATCTTAAGTGAATTAACACCAGCAACAGAAAATCAAATAACGTATTTTCTCACTTATAAGTGGGAGCTAGATATTGAGTATACATGGACACCAAGATAGGTACAGTAGACACTAGGGATTCCAAAAGCAGGAAGGGAAAGAGGAGGAGAAGGGTTGAAAAAGTACTTATTGGGTAACAGGCTCACTATGTGGATGACAGGTTCATTAGGAGCCCAAACCTCAGCATCATGCAATATGCTCAGGTCAGAAACTTACACATGTACCTCCTGAATCTAAAATAAAATAAGTATCAATAAAAGGTAAGGTGAAACTTCAAGGACACCTACACTGGCATGGATCAGGGGGATATTTGGGACTACATTTTCAGATTCCAGGAGAATATAATCTTTCTCTGCTATGTGCATTTGCATACATTGGTTTCTTATGAAATGACACGTATCTTGAACTTATGTATCCCATTCATGGTTAAGTTTTATTGACTGAAAAACAGGAACTGTATACCCATCTTGCCAGTGGCTATGAGAATAAGTGATACTTGCTGTGATGCAATTAACCCCAGCCTGACCCATGCCCAGCACTCACTTGGGGTGGCTATTGCTACATTTCTCTCCAAATGGAAAGAAGAATGTGGACCTCTTCTAAATCGCTTGGCTGGATTGGCTCTGAGTTTTCATATTAGACTTAAACAATTATTGAGGCTTTAGCCTAGGGTAGAATGAATTTGTATTAGTCAGTTCGAATGCTGCTAATAAAGATATACCAAAAGTGGGTAATTTATAAAGGAAAAGATGTTTAATGGACTTACAGTTTCACATGGCTGGGAGGCCTCACAATCATGGCAGAAGATGAAGGATGAGGAAAGGAACTTCTTACATGGTGGTGGGCAAAAGAGAGAGGACTTGTGCTGGGGAACTCCTCCTTGTAAACCCAGCAGATCTTGTGAGACTTATTCACTATCATGAGAATAGCATGTGAAAGACCCATGCCCATGATCCAATTACTTCCCATCAGGTCCCTTCCATGGCATGTGGGAACTGTGGGAGCTACAATTCAAGATGAGAATTGGGTGGGGACACAGCCAAACCATACCACAATTCTTTTGCAAACTTTCTTATTCTTCAAAGCACTTAAAGAGACTTGGTTCTTAAATTTTTTGTTTAATAATTTCACTTTAGGGCCAATCATCCCATCATTTGCTAAGCAAATGGTGCTGAATTAATTTTCCTATAACCGATGCATTAGTATTTCTAACTGACATCTCTTAAAGTAAGTTGAATTTGGGACTGGTATTGAATTGCATTTAATGCTTTATTACTATTTCCTCAAGTCTGAAGGATCTGTTTCCAAATGTAGCAGTTTCAAGATAAACATACAAAGACTATCTTTCCGTCACCTCTCAAATAATTTTTAATACTTTTAAAAAATTAAGATAATAATAGTCTGGATTCTTTTCAATACTACTCTTTCTAGATTATGCATGTTCCTTCAGAATGCTTCATTTTTATCAGATTAGTCTGCTGTTGGCAAATGAATAAAATTTTGATCAAAAGCATTTACTCAAAGGCTCAACGCACATTTTAAAACTACATGAATATGGTCATCTTTTGTACTGTTTTGTTTTACTTCATGGATTAATGTTCACAGTGTTGAGTGATTCCAGGACATGAAATATGGCCTCCTTCCTCTTCCTGACTTTTATTCTTCTCTCTCTTCCAGAGTAGACACATTCCTTGAAGTGAGTATGAGTGAAGCCCCCAGCATTCCACATGCTGTGGTGGGGACTTTCCTAGCTATCAGTAGACTATTTCCATGTCATCCAATTTCTCTCCTGTAATGACTCATGGAGTCCTTGTGCTGAGCCGTGAGCCTCATTGTCTATAAAGAGGTTTGGTCCACCCCGGTCTATTGGTCAAGATTTACATAAGTCAACCATTGTGGAGAGCAGTGTGGTGATTCCTTAAAGAACTAAAAGCAGGCTGGGTGTGGCAGCTTATGCCTATAATCCCAGCGCTTTGGGAGGCCGAGGAGGGTGGATCTCCTGAGGTCAGGAGCTTGAGACCAGCCTGGTCAACATGGTGAAATCCCATTTCTACTCAAAAAATAAAAAAAAAATTAGCCAGGTGTGGTGGTGGACATCCGTAATCAGAGCTTCTCAGGAGGCTGAGGCACAAGAACTGTTTGAACCCACAAGGCAGAGGTTCCAGTAAGCTTAGATCATGCCACTGCACTCCAGCCTGGGCAACAGAGTGAGACTCCATCTCAAATAAATAAATAAATAAATAAATAAATAAATAAATAAATAGAGCTAAAAGCACAACTACTGTTTGACCCAGCATCCCATTACTGGGTATATATGCAGAGGAATTAAAATCATTCTACTATAAAGACATATACATACAAATGTTCATTGCAACACTTCACAATAGCAAATAAATGGAATCAACCTAAAGCCCATCAATGACAGATTGGATAAAGAAAAAGTGGTATGTGTGCAACATGGAATATTATGCAGCCACAAAAAGGAACGAGTTCATGTCTTTTGTGGGAACGTGGATCCAGCTGGAGGCTATTATCTTTGGCAAACTAAAACAGAAATTGAAAACCAAATACTGCATGGCCTCACTTACATGTGGGAGCTAAATGATGATAACTTATGAACACAAAGAAGGAAACAACAGACACTGGGGTCTACTTGAAGGGGGAGGGTGGGAGGAGGGAGAGGAGCAGAAAATATAATTTTTGGATACTGAGCTTAATACCTGGGTGATGAAACAATCTGTGCAACAATCCCCCATGGACATGGGTCTACCTATGCAACAAACCTTCACATGTACTGAAAATAAACAAATTTACAAGAAAAATCCAAATAACCCCATCAAAAAGTGGGCAAAGGATATGAACAGACACTTTTCTAAAGAAGAATGTATGCAGCCAATAGACACATGAAAAAATGAGCATCATCACTAGTCATCAGAGAAATGCAAATCAAAACCACAATGAGATATCATCTCAAGCCAGTTAGAATGTCAGTCATTAAAATTCAGAAAATAACAGGCGCCAGAGAGGAGGTAGAGAAATAGGAATGTTTTTACACTGTTGATGGGAGTGTAAATTAGTTCAACCATTGTGGAAGACAGTGTGGCTATTCCTCAAGGATCTAGAACTAGAAATATCATTTTACCCAGCCATCCCATTACTAGATATATACCCAAAAGTTTATAAATCATGCTACGATAAAGACACATGCACGTGTTTGTTTATTGTGGCACTGCAATAACAAAGACTTGGAACCAACCCAAATGCCCATCAATAATAGACTGGATAAAGAAAATGTGGCACATATACACCAGGGAATACTATGCAGCCACAAAAAAGGATGAGCTCATGTACTTTACAGGGACATGGATCAAGCTGGAAACCATCATTCTGAGCAAATTATCTCAAGGACAGAAAAGCAAACACCATATGTTCTCACTCATAGGTGGGAATTGAACAATGAGAACACTTGGACACAAGGCAAGGAACATCACACACCGGGGCTTGTCATGGGGTGGGGGGATGGAGGGGATATCATTAGGAGAAATACCTAATGTAAATGATGAATTAATCGGTGCAGCAAACCAACATGGCACATGTATACATATGTAACAAACCTGCATGTTGTGCACGTGTACCCTAGAACTTAAAGTATAATAAAAAACAAGAAAAAGAAAAAGAAAAATTCCTCTTCTCTGAAAGACAGGAGGCTGGCAGAAATGTTTTTGAGATCCTATAGAGAAAACCAAGTGTATTTACAAAGTGTCATCAAACTTTTACTGAGCAATTCTATGTTCTGAAAGCTCTGTTAGATATTTGCTATTTACCACAACCTCAGGAAGTGTTTTTATCTTCATCCCCATTTTTTGGGGGAGAAAAGGGTGCAGAAGCTGAGGCTTAACCAGGTAAAACCATACACTTAAGCTGACATAGCTCAGAGGCTTTGACTTTTAATACCCAGGAAATCACCTCCAGTATTAACAGCTTCAAGAATTCTCTATCTGAAACATTTTTAAATTTATTTATTTATTTATCTATTTTTAATTTTTTTTTTCTTTTTTTTAAATTTATTATTATTATACTTTAAGTTTTAGGGTACATGTGCACAATGTGCAGGTTAGTTACATATGTATACACGTGTCATGCTGGTGCGCTGCACCCACTAACTCGTCATCTAGCATTAGGTATATCTCCCAGTGCTATCCCTCCCCACTCCCCCCGACCCCACAACAGTCCCCAGAGTGTGATGTTCCCCTTCCTGTGTCCCTGTGTTCTCATTGTTCAATTCCCACCTATGAGTGAGAATATGTGGTGTTTGGTTTTTTGTTCTTGCGATAGTTTACTGAGAATGATGATTTCCAATTTCATCCATGTCCCTACAAAGGACATGAACTCATCATTTTTTATGGCTGCATAGTATTCCATGGTGTATATGTGCCACATTTTCTTAATCCAGTCTATCATTGTTGGACATTTGGGTTGGTTCCAAGTGTTTGCTATTGTGAATAGTGCCACAATAAACATACGTATGCATGTGTCTTTATAGCAGCATGATTTATAGTCCTTTGGGTATATACCCAGTAATGGGATGGCTGGGTCAAATGGTATTTCTAGTTCTAGATCCCTGAGGAATCGCCACACTGACTTCCACAATGGTTGAGCTAGTTTACAGTCCCACCAACAGTGTAAAAGTGTTCCTATTTCTCCACATCCTCTCCAGCACCTGTTGTTTCCTGACTTTTTAATGATTGACATTCTAACTGGTGTGAGATGGTATCTCATTGTGGTTTTGATTTGCATTTCTCTGATGGCCAGTGATGGTGAGCATTTTTTCACGTTTTTTGGCTGCATAAATGTCTTCTTTTGAGAAGTGTCTCTTCATGTCCTTCGCCCACTTTTTGATGGGGTTGTTTGGTTTTTTCTTGTAAATTGGTTTGAGTTCATTGTAGATTCTGGATATTAGCCCTTTGTCAGATGAGTAGGTTGTGAAAATTTTCTCCCAGTTTGTAGGTTGCCTGTTCACTCTGATGGTAATCTCTTTTGCTGTGCAGAAGCTCTTTAGTTTAATTAGATCCCATTTGTCAATTTTGTCTTTTGTTGCCATTGCTTTTGGTGTTTTAGACATGAAGTCCTTGCCCATGCCTATGTCCTGAATGGTAATGCCTAGGTTTTCTTCTAGGGTTTTGATGGTTTTAGGTCTAATGTTTAAGTCTTTAATCCATCTTGCATTGATTTTTGTATAAGGTGTAAGGAATGGATCCAGTTTTAGCTTTCTACATATGGCTAGCCAGTTTTCCCAGCACCATTTATTAAATAGGGAATCCTTTCCCCACTGCTTGTTTTTCTCAGGTTTGTCAAAGATCAGATAGTTGTAGATATGCGGCATTATTTCTGAGGGCTCTGTTCTGTTCCATTGGTCTATATCTCTGTTTTGGTACCAGTACCATGCTGTTTTGGTTCCTGTAGCCTTGTAGTATAGTTTGAAATCAGGTAGTGTGATGCCTCCAGCTTTGTTCTTTTGGCTTAGGATTGACTTGGTGATGTGGGCTCTTTTTTGGTTCCATATGAACTTTAAAGTAGCTTTTTCCAATTCTGTGAAGAAAGTCATTGGTAGCTTGATGGGGATGGCATTGAATCTGTAAATTACCTTGGGCACTATGGCCATTTTCATGATATTGATTCTTCCTACCCATGAGCATGGACTGTTCTTCCATTTGTTTGTATACTTTTTTATTTCCTTGAGCAGTGGTTTGTAGTTCTCCTTGAAGAGGTCCTTCACATCCCTTGTAAGTTGGATTCCTAGGTATTTTATTCTCTTTGAAGCAATTGTAAATGGGAGTTCACTCATGATTTGGCTCTTTGTTTGTCTGTTGTTGGTGTATAAGAATGCTTGTGATTTTTGTAGACTGATTTTGTATCCTGAGACTTTGCTGAAGTTGCTTATCAGCTTAAGGAGATTTTGAGCTCAGACAATGGGGTTTTTTAGATATACAATCATGTCGTCTGCAAACAGGGACAATTTGACTTCCTCTTTTCCTAATTAAATACCTTTTATTTCCTTCTCCTGCCTGATTGCCCTGGCTAGAACTTCCAACACTATGGTAAATAGGAGTGGTGAGAGAGGGCATCCCTGTCTTGTGCCAGTTTTCAAAGGGAATGCTTCCAGTTTTTGCCCATTCAGTATGATATTGGCTGTGGGTTTGTCATAGATAGCTCTTATTATTTTGAGATACATCCCATCAATACCTAATTTATTGAGAGTTTTTAGCATGAAGTGTTGTTGAATTTTGTCAAAGGCCTTTTCTGCATCTATTGAGATAATCGTGGTTTTTGTCTTTGGTTCTGTTTATATGCTGGATTCCATTTATTGATTTGTGTATATTGAAACAGCCTTGCATCCCAGGGATGAAGCCCACTTGATCATGGTGGATAAGCTTTTTGATATGCTGCTGCATTCGGTTTGCCAGTATTTTATTGAGGATTTCTGCATCAATGTTCATCAAGGATGTTGGTCCAAAATTCTCTTTTTTAGTTGTGTCTCTGCCCGGCTTTGGTATCAGGATGATGCTGGCCTCATCAAATGAGTTAGGGAGGATTCCCTCTTTTTTTTATTGATTGGAATAGTTTCAGAAGGAATGGTAGCAGTTCCTCCTTGTACCTGTGGTAGAATTTGGCTGTGAATCCATCTGGTCCTGGACTCTTTTTGGTTGGTAAGCTATTGATTATTGCCACAATTTCAGCTCCTGTTATTGGTCTATTCAGAGATTCAACTTCTTCCTGGTTTAGTCTTGGGAGAGTGTATGTGTCGAGGAATTTATCCATTTCTTCTCAATTTTCTGGTCTATTTGCATAGAGGTATTTGTAGTATTCTCTGATGGTAGTTTGTATTTCTGTGGGATCGGTGGTGATATCCCCTTTATCATTTTTTATTGCATCTATTTGATTCTTCTCTTTTTTTCTCTATTAGTTTTGCTAGTGGTCTATCAATTTTGTTGATCCTTCAAAAAACCACCTCCTGGATTCATTAATTTTTTGAAGGGTTTTTTATGTCTCTATTTCCTTCAGTTATGCTCTGATTTTAGTTATTTCTTGCCTTCTGCTAGCTTTTGAATGTGTTTGCCCTTGCTTTTCTAGTTCTTTTAATTGTGATGTTAGGGTGTCAATTTTGGATCTTTCCTGCTTTCTCTTGTGGGCATTTAGTGCTATACATTTCCCTCTACACACTGCTTTGAATGTGTCCCAGAGATTCTGGTATGTTGTGTCTTTGTTCTCATTGGTTTCAAAGAACATCTTTATTTCTGCCTTCATTTCGTTATGTATTCAGTAGTCATTCAGGAGCAGGTTGTTCAGTTCCATGTAGTTGAGCGGCTTTGAGTGACATTCTTAATCCTGAATTCTAGTTTGATTACACTGTGGTCTGAGAGATAGTTTGTTATAATTTTTGTTCTTTTTCATTTGCTGAGGAGAGCTTTACTTCCAAGTATGTGGTCAATTTTGGAATAGGTGTGGTGTGGTGTGAAAAAAATGTAGATTCTGTTGATTTGGGGTGGAGAGTTCTGTGGATGTCTATTAGTTCGGCTTGGTGCAGAGCTGAGTTCAATTCCTGGGTATCCTTGTTGACTTGCTGTCTCGTTGATCTGTCTAATGTTGACAGGGGGGTGTTAAAGTCTCCCATTATTAATGTGTGGGAGTCTAAATCTCTTTGTATGTCACTCAGGACTTGCTTTATGAATCTGGGTGCTCCTGTATTGGGTGCATATATATTTAGGATAGTTAGTTCTTCTTGTTGAATTGATCCCTTTACCATTATGTAATGGCCTTCTTTGTCTCTTTTGATCTTTGTTGGTTTAAAGTCTGTTTTATCAAGGTCTATGATTGCAACCACTGCCTTTTTTTCTTTTCCATTTGCTTGGTAGATCTTCCTCCATCCTTTTATTTTGAGCCTATATGTGTCTCTGCACATGAGATGGGTTTCCTGAATACAGCACACCGATGGGTCTTGACTCTATCCAATTTGCCAGTCTGTGTCTTTTAATTGGAACATTTAGTTCATTTACATTTAAAGTTAATATTGTTATCTGTATTTGATCCTGTCATTATGATGTTACCTGGTTATTTTGCTCGTTAGTTGATGCAATTTCCTCCTAGTATCGATGGTCTTTACAATTTGGCATGATTTTGCAGCGGCTGGTATCGGTTGTTCCTTTCCATGTTTAGCGCTTCCTTCAGGAGCTCTTTTAGGGCAGGCCTGGTGGTGACAAAATCTCTCAGCATTTGCTCTTCTGTAAAGTATTTTATTTCTCCTTCACTTATGAAGCTTAGTTTTGCTGGATATGAAATTCTGGGTTGAAAATTCTTTTCTTTAAGAATGTTGAATATTGGCCCCACTTTCTTCTGGCTTGTAGAGTTTCTGCTGAGATATCCGCTCTTAGTCTGATGGGCTTCCCTTTGTGGGTAACCCGACCTTTCTCTCTGGCTGCCCTTAACATTTTTTCCTTCATTTCAACTTTGGTGAATCTGACAATTATGTGTCTTGGAGTTGCTCTTCTCGAGGAGTATCTTTGTGGCATTCTCTGTATTTCCTGAATCTGAATGTTGGCCTGCCTTGCTAGATTGGGGAAGTTCTCCTGGATAATATCCTGCAGAGTGTTTTCCAACTTGGTTCCATTCTCCCCGTCACTTTCAGGTACACCAATCAGACGTAGATTTTGTCTTTTCACATAGTCCCATATTTCTTGGAGGCTTTGCTCATTTCTTTTTATTCTTTTTACTCTAAACTTCCCTTCTTGCTTCATTTCATTCATTTCATCTTCCATCGCTGATACCCTTTCTTCCAGTTGATTGCATTGGCTCCTGAGGCTTCTGCATTTTTCACATAGTTCTCGAGCCTTGGTTTTCAGCTCCATCAGCTCCTTTAAGCACTTCTCTGTATTGGTTATTCTAGTTATACATTCTTCTAAACTTTTTTCAAAGTTTTCAACTTCTTTGCCTTTGGTTTGAATTTCCTCCCATAGCTCAGAGTAATTTGATCGTCTGAAGCCTTCTTCTCTCAGCTCGTCAAAGTCATTCTCCGTCCAGCTTTGTTCCATTGCTGGTAAGGAACTGGGTTCCTTTGGAGGAGGAGAGGCACTCTGCTTTTTAGAATTTCCAGTTTTTCTGCTCTGTTTCTTCCCCATCTTTGTGGTTTTATCTACTTTTGGTCCTTGATGATGGTGATGTACAGATGGGTTTTTGGTGTGGATGTCCTTTCTGTTTGTTAGTTTTCCTTCTAACAGACAGGACCCTCAGCTGCAGGTCTGTTGGAGTACCTGGCAGTGTGAGGTGTCAGTCTGCCCCTGCTAGGGGGTGCCTCCCAGTTAGGCTGCTTGGGGGTTAGGGGTCAGGGACCCATTTGAGGAGGCAGTCTGCCCATTCTCAGATCTCCAGCTGCATGCTGGGAGAACCACTGCTCTCTTCAAAGGTGTCAGACTGGGACATTTAAGTCTGCAGAGGTTACTGCTGTCTTTTTGTTTGTCTGTGCCCTGCCCCCAGAGGTGGAGCCTACAGAGGAACACAGGCTTCCTTGAGCTGTGGTGGGCTCCACCCAGTTGGAGCTTCCCAGCTGCTTTGTTTACCTAAGCAAGCCTGGGCAATGGTGGGCGCCCCTCCCCCAGGCTCGCTGCCACCTTGCAATTTGATCTCAGACTGCTGTTCTAGCAATCAGTGAGACTCCATGGGCATAGGACACTCCCAGCCATGTGCAGGCTATAATCTCCTGGTGCGCCATTTTTTAAGCCCATCGGAAAAGTGCAGTATTCGGATGGGAGTGACCCGATTTTCCAGGTGCCCTCTGTCACCGCTTTCTTTGACTAGGAAAGGGAACTCCCTGACCCCTTGTGCTTCCTGAGTGAGGCAATGCCTTGCCCTGCTTCAGCTGCCACACAGTGCATGCACCCACTGACCTGCGCCCACTGTCTGGCACTCCCTAGTGAGATGAACCAGGTACCTCAGATGGAAATGCAGAAATCACCTCTCTTCTGTGTCGCTTACACAAGGAGCTGTAGACTGGAGCTGTTCCTATTCAGCCATCTTGGCTCCTCCCCCTTTAACTGTTTAAATCTTAATTTTTTTTGAGACAGTCTCACACTGTGGCCCTGGCTGGAGTGTAGTGTCAAGATCTTGGTTTTTGCAGCCTTGAGTTCCCCAGGCTCAGGTGATCATCCCACCTCAGTTTACTGAGTAGCTGGGACTATAGGCACACACCACCACATCTGGCTAATTTTCATATTTTTTTGTAGAGAGAAGGTTTTGTCATGTTGCCCAGGCTTGCCTAGAACTCCTGGGCTAAATCAATCTGCCCACCTTGACCTCCAAAGGTAGTGGTATTACAGGCATAAACAAGAGCACCTAGCCTCTGTCTGAACTCTTAAAACCAGAAACAGAGCATGACAATGTAAAAATACAAAGAAACATTGACTGGAGGAATAGAGACAGGAGACCTGTGGAGATTGTTCTGTCCCCAATGTCTTGCCGTAATATGTGTCCTGCATATGGGTAGAAACTCATAAAATACAAAGACTGTAGGTTTAGCATGAGGAGATGTCATGTGGCCAATGATGAGGAAGTTCTGTCTTTCCCTTCATTAATTGGGCTATTGTGCATGATCTGTTTTTGTTTGCTGAAATTCAGGTTAGAGATAGAAAACTTCCTTATGTTGGAAGAGCTTTAAACATTCTCAGACTTAGTCATCACTCACCTGGTGTCTGGGGTTCACCTTCATACTCCAGGTCACAAAGCAGTTCTGTCCAATGGAACATTCTACAGTCATGAAAATGTGCTATAATCTGCACAGTTCAATAGCTAGCTAGCTGCTATTCAACACTGAAAATATGGTGGCTAGTGGTGAATAAACAAATGGATTTTTATTTTATTTAATGTTAATTCACTTAATTCACTTAAATTTAAATAGCTACATGCAACAGGCTATCCTGTTACACATTGCAATCCTAGGACCTGTGGGTTTCTGAAATCCGATGCAAAGTCTTTGCAAATATGACTGTTCAAAGTATATCCTGGGCTCTTGATCAATGAGGATGTGAGCATCTCCAAAACAGAATGATCCCTGATGGAAACAAGTGCAATGACTTTATCTGTACAGTTGACCCTTGAACACCACAGGTTAGATCTGCAGAAGTCCACTTATATGGGGATTTTCTTTCACCTTTGCCACTGCTGAGACAGCAAGACCAACCTCTTCTCTTGCTCCTCCTCAACATACTCAATATGAAGATGTTGATGATAAAGACCTTTATGATGATCCACTTCTATTTAATGAATAGCAAATATACTTTCTCTTACTTATGATTTAATTTTATCCAGCTTGCCTTATTGGAAAGATACAGAATATAATGCACATAACATACAAAATAGATGTTAACCAACTGCTTATGTTATCATCAGTAAGGCTTCCAATCAGTAGTAGGCTATTGGTAGCTAAGTTTGGGGAGCCAACCATTATGTGCAGATTTTTCACTGGGCAGGGGATCAGTGACTCTAATGCACACATTGTTAGAGGGTCAAACGTACTTGCCAGCAGAATATTGGCCTTATTTTTCTGTGAGGCCAGATGGCTCTTTCCTCCCTCTGAATCTGAATTCATGGGTTTTGTTTTAGAAAATATCTAATTTCAAAAAAGCTATGCACAAGTTGAAAAGTCTCTCTTGTGGCATGCATTGAAAAGATTCAAGAGCAGGAACTATGTTACTGTTGGTATTATGTTCCCAACGTGGACCGTGGTGTCTGAAGCATAGTAGAAGCTTGGTAGCTGTAGAGGAAAGGAAGGAAAGAAGGAAGGAAGGATGGAAGGAAGGAAGGAAGGAAGGAAGGGAAGTAAGGGAGGAAGGAAGAATGGAAGGAGGGGAGAAAGGAAAGAAGGAAGAAAGGAAGAGAGGGAGGGAGAAAGGGAGAAATAAGGAAAGAAAGAAGGAAGGAAGAAAGAAAGGAAGGAAGGAAGAAAGGAAGGAAGGAAGAAAGGAAAGAAGAAGGAAATAACAGAGATTCAATGAAACAGGCAACTTGATGTGGTGGTTAACTTTATGGGTCAACTTGAACGAACCACAAGGTGCCCAGAATTTTGTTAAACATTATTGCTGGATATGTCAGTGAAAATGTTTGCAGAGAAGATTAGCAATTGGTGGATTGTGTGAAGCAGGTTGCCCTCATTGGTGTAGATAGGCATGATCCAATCTGTTGAAGGTCTAAATATAAAAGAAAGAAAAAAGATCACTTATGTTCTGCTCTAAACTGGCTATTCTAGTTAGAAATTTGTCTAACCTTTTTTCAATGTTCTTAACTTCCTTGCATTGGGTTAGAACATGCCCCTTCAGCTCAGAGCAATTTGTTATTACCCACCTTCTGAAGCCTATTTCTGTCAATTTGTGAAACTCATTCTCCATCCAGTTTTGTTCCCTTGCCCATGAGGAGTTGTGATCATCTATAGATGTACTCTCCTATAGATGAATCACTGTGCCGTCTTTCACTTCCTTCAGTGATTTCTGCAATTATTCTCTCAAAGTAGGCTGGAGACAGACCTCTATGAGCCAAACAGAGACAGACATCACTCCCTAAGACATTCTCCCTGACTTGCTCCGGCAAAATTCCCTGCAGTCTCTATCTGGAAGGAGGCAGAGAGTCAGGATACTTCCAAGCCTAAATGAGAAGAACAGCACTTCCCACACTCACTTCCCTGGCTTGCTCTAATAGCAGATTTCTGCCGTCACTCGCTAGAGAAAATCAGGCAGTTAGATCTCTGAAATCCTGAATGGAAGAGGTAGCACTCCCCTTCTGTCACCAGACATAGCAAGCTTGCTTCACAGGCTTGTTCTAGCAATAAATCCCTCCTGCTATTCTCCCTGGACAGATTTTTGGTGAAGTATAAATGTGACAGTGAACACCTCTCAGGCCTTCTTGCTTTCTTCTCTGCCTTGCCACAGCAAGAAATCTGCCTTGCAGGTTCTTCCTGGAAGAAGCTTGTGCGACTTTGGCAATGCAGAAGGAGAAAGCAGGCAGTCTGCACTACCTTCTCCCTGGCTTGCTCTGGTGAGAAATCAATGTCTGTAGAACCTCCCTGGAAGTAGCTTCTGCATACATCATGCATCACAAATTTTACAGCCTGTATCTAAGGGACTGTCCTAAATTGTCTACTTCTGGAAGTGAATGGGACTCTGTATTCTGAGTCTCCTATATCACAGAGAACAAGATTGTCAAAGTTGTAAATATTCAGTGGCTATCTGTCCAGATTCAGAGTGAGCATAACGAATGACTGTACAGGTGTCAGTCATGGACACTATTCTTGGCATAAGGCAGAACTAGTTGGACATAAACTCTGAATCTAAGCTTGTCCACAAGCAATATACATCTAATCCCAAAACCTTTTACCTGCATATCATGGGGCTGGCTACTATCTTGCCTGTGTCAAAGGAATAGTATGATTTCACACATACTACAATCGAGGGGGGCATAAGAAGAAAGACAGTGAGTTGGACAATCACAGAATTGAGAAGCACCTGGAATCTCTGGTTGCACTGATAAGGAAATGAAATTTCCTACGTAGGATGAGTTAAGGACAACAGAGAAAGATGGTTGTCTTCACTGACTTGCAGAAACCAACTCATAGTCAAGAAAAATGGGGCTGGTGGTAGTGGTTACAGGAGGGCAGGGCAGTGAGGGAGTGCAGTGGAGAGGAAAATATGTTCTGAGGTAAAGAACAAAAGAAATAAACAGAACTGGACTCTGATAAAATGAAAGTATGTAATGTCCCTGACAGGGAAATCAAAACAGAAAGCTCTAAGGTATTACCAGAAGTCTGGACAGTAATGCATTTAAAAACTGAGAAGTTTAACAAAGAGGTAGAAAATATTTCAAGGTATCAAACAGAAATCAAAGAAGTGAAAAATACAGGAAGCTACATCAAAAATTAAATAGAGGGACCGAACAGTAAACTGGATCAAGGAGAATAAAGGATAAGCAAAATTAAGCCAAGTCTTTGAAAATAATCAAATTGGAGGATAAAAATGAAAGAGAAAAATAAGGAATCATGAAGACAGCATAAGGAACTTATGGAACATTATGAAGCAGGATGATAACATATGGAATACTATAAGGAGATAATAATGATAAAAGGAGAGAAAAATAACTGACATATATTTTTAAACAAATAAATAAAAGGCTGGGCACAGTGGGTCATGCCTGTAATCCCAGCACTTTGGAGGCCGAGGCAGGTGGATCACCTGATGTCAGGAGTTTGAGACCAGCCTGGCCAATATGCAAAACCCCATCTTTACAAAAATAAAAATACAAAAAAATTAGCCAGGCTTGGTGGTGGGGGCCTGTAATCCCAACTACTTGGGAGACTGAGCAAGGAGAATCTCTTGAACCCAGAAAGCGGAGGTGGCAGTGGACTGAAATCGCTCCACTGCACTCCAGCCTGGGTGTCAGATCAAGACTCAATCTCAATAAATAAATAGACAGTAAAATAAAAAACAATAACGAAAGGATAAAGATGGCTGCTAGAGTCACTGAAAACTCACCTTGTCCACAAAGAAGGTCTGAAATAGCAAATAGATAACTATGCATTGAATCGAACATCTTTGGGAGAAGGCTGGAATTCAGCAGGGAAGTGACAGTGACTCTCTAAGACATGAAAACTGGGGATGGCAGCAGTATAGAGAGGGACCAAAGCAGCCAGCTGGAATTGGCTCAAAACCAAAAGGAATTCTCCACTGTGGGAGAAAGAAAGACTGCATTTGCAATCCTAGATGCAGAGAATCCCCTTGGCCCTGTGAGGACAGATCCTAAGCCTAATAACAGAGACCTGCCTGACGTCCACACAACTACACTGTCCCAGAGAGGGAACTCATGCAAGACCCGGTGCCCACAGAGGCCCACCCTGCTGGTGCATGGCCCAGTATTGAGGGTGATATTGAGCAAAAGGCTGTCTAGAACCTACATCAGAGAGCCTTTTGCCCAGGGGTCCAATATCCCCTGCATCTCCGTGTCTTGGGTCCTTGCTGACATGCCCTCTTGTCCACCCAGAGGCCTCAGTGTCATGATGTCAGCTGGATGCAGCAATGTGGTTGGGTCCATGGTGATGGAAATCATGCAGCATCCTATACCCCAGGGAATAGGCATTCCAGCATATTTGAGTGGCTGCGTCAAAACATAGGGAACAAAAATGTGTGATCCATAGAACGTGGGAAATACCTGCCTGAGGATGCTGCCACTGAGGCACCAACTTCTCCCAGCCCCTCAGCAGCAAGACAACCACACACCTGTAAGTGTCATGTCAGGTCCCACAACCCAGATCCTAAGCTGCTGCTGCCAATATAGCCACCCACATGTACCACATGAGGGACTCAAGACTGACCCACCTAGCCCACAGGCACCACACTGGGGCCCTTCCATGCTGCCTGGGACCCCTAGGACTTACCTGTGCAATGCAGCTGCCACAGCTGCTGTCTACTGATGCTACCCAGGAGCCTGAATACAGGCCTACTCAGTACACCAAACCCCAGCAAAGTCTCACCCCAGGCTCTTAAAACAACTAAAATCTAAGCCATTAAGGCACCCTCATACATTTCTGATATTGAATATAGCTAAAGAAATAATACGAAGACCATGCTATGCTACTTACCCAGAAGCAAAGTCAAAGTACTCTGCCCAATCAACATTATAGATGCATGTACAGGGAATAGTTTTGTTCCAGTGCTTTCTTTTAAGCTTCAGATAATATTCTCACATGGATATGCAGATTAACAGCCAGCAGAAGGCCTGCATGAACTCTTTTGCCTCTCTGGGGTTTTCTTTTTGTGTAAGTCCTCTTTTATTTTCTGGCATTTTGTTCTACAGATTCTAGCTTTCTTGATATAGTTGAACTCTGATTTTAGTCTTCTCAATCTAGTAACACCCCCTAAGTTATGGCCTGGTGATAAGTAGGGTTCATCCTTACACTGTCTTTGTTCATCTTTTCTGAGAAATTATTGTTTGGTGCTGCCTGGAATTGAATGTAGAAAAATCTTTGGTTCATATTTCTGTCTAGTTTTGTGGTTATTTAACCTGGGAGGGTAAATATGGTCCCTGTTACCTCATTATGGTTAGGGGCGTAACAGGACCATGGAAGGCTTTCAGAAGTCATTTTTGAAGACACAACGCAAATTCGGTTTGCATAATGAACTTAGATAAAATACAGCCAAGAAAATAATGTTAGCAGAAACCAGGCCTTACGGAAATCTTTTTAGCGAGTTATTATGCTCAGACTTAAAAGAATAAAAAAAAACCAGACCAACGGGTAAAATATACATATTCTAACTTTAATCTGGGGTATTAGAATTATTCAGACAGTTGTGCAAATAAAATTCAAATATAGTTGAAACATTTGTATAAGCTGGTCTATATACTACTTTCTGTGTGGAAAGAATACATACGGATACAAATTTCAGAAAGAACATAAAAACTGGCATACTATGTTTTCAAAAAAACCAGCATATTATGTTTTCAAAAAAACCCACATTTATTTTACTGTATTTTCCTTTTTTGGAAACAGATTCTGGATCTCTGGCCCACGCTGGAGTGCAATGGCGCAATTTTGGCTCTCTGAAACCTCCGCCTCCTGGAGGTGATTCTCCTGCCTCCCGAGTAGCCGGGACTACAGGCATACGCCACCAGACCTGCCAAAGTTGTTTGGTATTGTTAGTAAAGATGGGCTTTCGCCATGTTAGCCAGGCTGGTCTCATTTGAGATACACGTGCCTCAGCCTCCTAAAGTGCTAGGATTACAGGCGTGAGCCACCTTGCCTGGCAAAAAAATAAAAATAAAAATAAAATAAAGATAAAAATAAAATAATAATAATAATAATCCAGCAGGGCGCGGTGGCTCATGCCTGTAATCCCTGTCCTTTGGGAGGCCGAGGCGGGCGGATCACGAGGTCAGGAGATCGAGACCATCCTGGCTAACACGGTGAAAACCCGTCTATACTTAAAAAAAAAAAAATACAAAAAATTAGCCAGGCGTAGTGGCGTGCGCCAGCAGTCCCAGCTAGTCGGGAGGCTGAGGCGGCAGAATAGCATGAACCTGGGAGGCGGAGCTTGCAGTGAGCAGAGCCACTGCATTCCAGCCTGAGCAACAGAGTGATACTCCGTCTCAAAAACAAAAAAACAAAACAACAAAAAAAACTACCAAAAAAAAAAGAAAAGAAAAATGTGGATTTTTTTTTCTTTTCTTTTCTTTCTTTTTTTTTTTTTTTTTTTTTTTTTTTTTGAGACGGAGTCTGGCTCTGTCGCTCAGCCTGGAGTGCAGTGGCGTGTCTCAGCTCACTGCAAGCTCCGCCTCCCGGGTTCATGCCATTCTCCTGCCTCAGCTGCTCGAGTAGCTGGGAGTACAGGTGCCTGCCACCAGCCCAGCTAATTTTTTGTATTTTTAGTGGAGACGGGGTTTCACCGTGTTAGCCAGGATGGTCTCGATCTCCTGACCTTGTGATCCGCCCGCCTCGGCCTCCTAAAGTGTTGGGATTACAGGCGTGAGCCACTGTGCCTGGCCAGAAAAAAATCCACATTTAAAAAATATAGAATACAAATTATTATGGACATTACCATTTTTATATCAGTCACTTGAGAAATGGCACTTTTCTCAAATGAGTATTGTATATTGGAATCAATTTTGCAAAATCAGAAAATGTGATTTATTTCTGGGGATGCTAGGCATATTAGACATTTTTTCCAGTTGCATTTAGGTATGGGGAAAAAAGAGCTAGACAGAGAAATTCTGTGACTTAATCCAGCTAGTCTATGACTACACAGGACAAACCTATAGTCTGATACAATTGCATTGACTTGGTAGAGTAAGGTAGACCATGCCTGTGGGGCAACTAAAGTAATAAAAGGAGGTACTGTACGATTTATGGGAAAGGTGGTGAGTAGGTATTTAAACACAGCAGAGTTTCAATAGGTTCAAGGTAAAGGACGCCTATGTATTAAAGGTCAAAACATCATGTTTAGACTGTGAGAGAACCCAGTGTCTTTATTCCTTGTAGATCACAAGTTGACATTTGTGTGGAATTTTGAGTGCAAATGCCTGTTATTTGAAGCTATGCACCTAGGCTGGAAAACAGTTTTTCTTCTATGGAAAGTGACAAATCAGCCGGGCAAGAGTGCTAAGTTTTCTCTTCACCGATAACATTTCAAACAGCAAATACTCTGTTTATAATTTTAGAACATAAAGTTTCTCAGTGAGTAAGAAAGCCGAAGTCATTCAGAGATGATAATTTTTGTGACCCTTTATAGCTGTACCCAGACTTTGGCAGAAATATTTATTTCCATTAAGTCGGGAGCTGGCTTTTCGGTTCTCCCCTCAACGTGATGAATTGAGGTGGTGGATTTTAACCTTTTCATCTTTGTTTTATTTTCTAACCTGTTAGAATTTACTTATCTCAGCTTTATTGCTATTTCCAGTAACAAAGCTGAACTTGCTTGTTTATACTATATACAATTTAAAGTAAACTACCACGTTAGCCTCTATATTTGAAAGTAAAACTAAGTAAAATTTGGTCATTTTTATTACCGTGAGTGTCCATATACTTTTACTACATTTGTATGCAATTTAATGTAACTAGTTTAAATTTAACATTAGTATTAATGATATCCACTGTGGGGGCTCTTTTTTCTATCGGCTCTTTTTTGTGTGCACACTTAGGTGATTTCTTACATTTTGCTATTAAATATTGTTTCAGATAACTTTCTTCTGCACTCCTAGTTTCCTAATGTACAAGGAAATTTGTCAGTAGGGATTTTATATTGATAGTCATGCAGCAACACACATGTACACTTGTACATGTTTAATATAAACAGACCAGTTAGATAATATAAAGCGCAAAATAAAACAAGTAAATATTGCCCAGTTCTCAAACGATGAAGAAACTAGTCTTCATGGCAAAATCTTTAGCACGAAGTCATTTGCCACTCTACAAAATAAACAGAGGTCGGGAGCTGTGGCTCAAGCTTGTAATCCAGCATTTTTGGAGGCCAAGAAATTCAGATCACTTTAGGCTAGGACTTCAAGACCAGTCTGGCCAACACCAGGAAACCTGATCTCTATGAAAAAATATGAAAATTAGCCAGACATGGTGGTGTACGCCTATAGTACCTTACAGTTACTTTGGAGGCCGAGGCATGAGAATCGTTTGAACCTGGTAGGCTGAGTCTGAAGTGACCTGAGATTGCACCATGCACCCTAGCACAGGTGACAGAGCGAGACTTCAACTCAAAAATAAATATAAATATAAACAAATATATAAATAATAGACATGGTATCCTTCACTTCAGGCAGTTATCATTTTTTTCTTCTTTTTTTTTAATTTTGAGACAGTGTCTCACTCTGTTGTCCACACTGGATTGCTTTGGCATCATCATAGCTCACTGCAGGCTTGAACTCCTGAGTTCAAATGCTTGGCCTCCCATTTGAGCCTCCTCAGTAGCTGGAATTACAGGCACACACAACCGTGTGCAGTGTGTGTGTGTGTGTGTGTGTGTGTGTGTGTTTTGTTTGTGAACTATTCTTTTGAATCACATCTTTTTATAACCCAATCTTTTTATTCATTATTTTAGTTAAACTCTGTTTCAACTGCAATGTGCTTTTATATTAACTTTTTTTTCACAGGGTAGCATGGGATACACTTTCCGAGCTCTGGTATATGTAAAGTTGTCTTTCTACTAATTTTCCATGAGTTTGAAAATTTACGTGTATGAAATTTTTGGTCATGCCATATGAATTCTTTTTACCAAGAATTCTTTAGACATTGCCATATATTCTGGAGTTTTGTTTATATAAGAGACATGTGTGGCCAATTTGACCAGTGACTTCTATTCAGGAAAATTCTTAATTTATGTTTATGCTATAAGATTTTTTTAACACATTAAATTAAAAAATTTGACCAGGATAAGCTCAATGCCTCTCTCAGTTTGTATAGGTGAGGTTAACACGAGACCATTGTGTACTGTGTTGTTTGTTTATGGCATTAATATACCTTGCTGAATGATCACTACCTGTTGACCTGCCTCCTTGCCTCCTCATAGGCTCCACTTACCTCTTTAGCCACATTAAAAAGTTGGCTTTTTAAATGCTGTATCTTTAGCATGTTGCACAGTGCTTGATACAGCATAACTCTCAATAAATATTTGTTGAGGGAATGAGTAAGCCAGCAAGTATAAACCTTTCATAAAATTCCAGAATTTGACACCATTTCTGTAAGTGAAGTCGAATGCAACCCATGGGATAGACATGTTTATGAATGAGAATTAAGAGTCTATATATTTTTAAATAGAAAATTGAGAGAAGATTAAAATATTGGTACAAAAATTAAAACATTATTTGATAATGTTATTTAATATTTGATAACACATTATCTATATTATGAATGAATTCAAGTTACCTTATCTTTAGTGCATCTATTGACTCTTGCATGGATGTTTACTTCATTACGGTAACTTTCAGTGATTTCTGATGCTATGATTATTTCTAGTAGGCATTGTCTTTCCTGGGAGCACCCTGCGTTTTGGATGCTAGTACACACATGCATTTCCATTTTACCTCTGAGAGGAGGCAAAATTTACTGTCAATACAGTAGATGCCCATCTATAAAGTAAAAATTCTAATGGAGTTGCATGTGGGTAGGCTTGTGTTCCGATTGCTGATAGGCCACTCTCTTCCCCACCACCCCGGAGTGATATGCAGAAGGAACGCTGCCAACCATTCTCCAGGAGAAAAATCAGATCATGTCTCATAGTTTCTGAGTTTATATGGAGGTTTTGTGCCTTTCAAGACAGGAGAACCTCATCTTGCACCATTAGTTGAGAATCAGAACTCATGATCTCACCCTGCAAAATGAAAATCTGTGCTGGAAAACAGTAAGCCCACCTTGGCTTCAGCTCTAGCTTACTGCATGAGCTTTGTGATCCTGCTTCATATCCCGCATGTGATTTTTTTTGAGTTCCACCTTTATATTTAATAGTTTTCATTTACACAGCATTCCTGTGTGTTTGGAGGAGAAGTTCACTCTGCTATGTCGACTGGACATCTTTATATTTCCAGTGTCTTCCCAAATCTGTGGGCCATGCTTGCATCTCCTGAATTAATCATTTAATAAATGAATAAAGCAGGTGCGACTACCCTATGAGAGTCACAATGCTGGTGTTCATTGAGAGGGTGGACAATAGACCCCATGACATTTCAGGAAAAATGATAAGAAATAATGGGAAATGGGAGAGTATAAAATAGCAGACAACCCAACACTAAGGAATAATTTCTGTTACTTGCATAAACTGCCTGAGGCCTGATTTCTGTAGGACAGTATTTTTAAAGTCCCCATAATGACCCTAGTTTTGTCATGCTGATGCTTTACTTATTTTATTAAGGTTTTGTAGCTCTTCACTAAATACATGCTATAAAACTTCTGCTCAAACAAAGGAGGATGTCATCAAAAATAAATAGTTTGGAATAGTGGAAATACCATCTACTGCAAATTTCTGGTAGCAAATTCCTTTCTGTAACACCCCTGACTTGACAAATTTGGATCATATTACAGGTGATTTTTTTTTTGACAATAATGTTAGTTTTCTCCCAGATAGAAACTTTGTGTTGCCTGCTTTCCAGACATACCCCAACCCCAGCTAATTCTTATGAAAATGTCTTCCATTGTTCAAAGAAAAAAAAAATTGAAAAAATTTCTCTGTGTATTTATTTTCCATTTGATAAAAAGAATAGTTTAACTAACTAGGACATGCATTCCATTCTCTTAGCCCCTGTGGTAACAGATAGTAACAGAGTTTTTTCTTTTTCTTCTTCTTTCATCTGTATTTGCTAAATATATTATGAACGGCAGGATAGTACTTGCTAGGAAAGTAGATTATAAAGATAAATGTAAGAAGCATTACGTTATTTCCCCAACCAGTTGCAAATGTGCGTTTATTATATTATATCCCATAAATATCAGGACAACTACACCAGCTGCTCTGTACTCTCAGAGGGCATGGTATTTCTTCTTATTTTGGCAACAGCCACCACTTCCAAAGGAAAAAAAATCTCTCACAAGCCTGAATTAAACAGGTGGAGCTTTCACCAGTCCTACAGATAAAACAGTAGGACCTGATAGCTCTCTGCTGACAGTGTGTTTCCATTAAAAAAAAAAGAAAGTAAAAAAGGTATGAAATTAAGACATTAAAAACACTTCTTTGGATATTAAAAATTGTAATTTTCTGATATTTTATAACAGTTATATATATTTCTCTTGGCAATGTTTCACTCAGTGAGAGTGACAACAAAGAGAGTTAACACCCCAGATAGACTGAATAACACATGGCTTACTCACTTCCATTGGTATGAATACTTTCTTTTGTGTTACTGCATTTTTGTACAATGCAATCAGACAAAAGGAAAATGTGTTATTGTGTTGTACAACATGCACTGTAGAAAATGCATTGTACAAAATTGTGTTATTGCATTGTACAAAATGTGCAACGTGTTAGCTTATGTTAAAATCAGAGGCTGGGTGCAATGGCTCATGCCTGTAATCCCAGCACTTTGGGAGGCCAAGACAGGTGGATCACGAGGTCAGGAGATCAAGATCATCCTGGCTAACACGGTGAAACCCCGTCTCCACTAAAACTACAAAAAAAAAAAAAAATAGCCGGGTGTGGTGGCAGGCACCTGTAGTCCCAGCTGCTAGGGAGTCTGAGGCAGGAGAATGGTGTGAACCCAGGAGGCGGAGCTTGCAGTGAGCCAAGATCACACCACTGCACTCCAGCCTGGGTGACAGAGCGGGACTCTGTCTCAAAAATAAATAAACTAATAAAAATAAACATAAAATAAAATCAGAAACCCCATTCAAGTGCCATAAAAATATGAGATGTATATTATTCTTTATTTTATGGGTTTTATTATATTCTATCAAATGGTAAGATTACACATTTTCTTTCTCTTAATAAAATAACACTACACTTTCAAAAAAGGCTGAGAAGTGCTGTCCTGAGCATCTTGATTTCAACATTCTTGAATACTGTCCATAAATTACTAAGTTACTGTTTGATACTGGAAAAAACATCCCTACACAACTACCACTAAGATATGGAAGTACATCATTCCAAGCTTGACAAACTACAGTATGATGATTGCCTAAAGGGGATTCCAAATCTTATGGCAATTTTTTCTCAATTCACACATACTCACTTTAACACTCTGTTGAATTTCCATCGTGAACTCACACATGCACACACACCCCACCCCACCCATGTCCTACAGTGGAAACACTGCTGACTCTGTTCTGGTGAAGGGCGCAGAAATCAAAATCCATTGAGTCCCCATCAATAATCTCATAGGTTCATACCTCTAGACTCCTCTGAAACAGGCAGAAGAAGCTTCAGAAAAGTTTCCAGAAAAAAATCTAGATTCACAATTTAGCCCTGATACTTAGGAGAGTTGATGCTGGTTGTTACTTATTTTTCAACCTTTGTTTTGTCGTTTGTAAAACGACTAAAATAACCTGTGCCATTTCTTACCCAATGATTTTTTATCATAATCAGGTGAGATAACATATGTAGAAATCTGGAAATTGTTTATGAAATGTAATATTCCTATTTTTAGAAGGTTTATAGTTAGTACATGTAGCAAACGCGCTTGCCTTTCTGTGTGCCAGTCCATGTTCTAAGTGGCCTAAGTTTTTTAACTCATTTCATCATCCCAATCTCTGTATGAAGTCTAAATGATTATCAGCACCATTTGATATACCAGTAAACTGAGACACTATGAGACAAAGTAATTCATTTATGCATTAATACCTACACTATACCAATGTTTTATGGATGTCACTGACTGAACTCATGCCATGCATATCTATCCCATACCTAGGCTATAAGACCAGTAGACTGGTATATAACGTGGTTTAACTATACAATGTAAGAGAGAGATTCCACACAGAAGCCCTCAAAATACAGTGCGAGCCAATCCTAGGAAAAAGTTAGAAGAGAAAAATCAAAGTATCTAAATTATCTAAACGGAAACAACGGACTTTGGCCATGGAAGAACAGAGGATTATGATAGTGACCTGTTCCTGAACAGCTCTTAACTGCAGAAGGTTGGGCCCTTCAATTGTTCTTTGTTAGTATCATTATCATAGTACTCGAAAGCAATAGCAGAAATTAAAAATGTGGCAATGAAGTATTTGAGATATGATACATCCTATTGGTGAGAGTAAAAGGATGAAATGAAAGTGTTATTAAATTAAAATGAGCAAGGGAAAGATGGGAATACAAAGAAATAAGTATCACCAAATTGTTTAGATAATGCAGAAAGAGCTCAAAGAATGCATCAGAGTAACTCTATCCGTAGTGTACTATATGACTAGAACACCACATCCTTCATGTACTCTTTGACTAGAACACCATGTCCTTAAGAACTAACCTTAAGTAGGCATGGCACCAACGATACCTTTGTGGGGAAAGCAGAAATTCAGATGCATTTACAGAGTGTGTTATGGCGTATATGTGACTTCCCTTCAGCTACTCGATCTCTCTCTGTTTTGTTATGACTACTTTTTTAGAGATTTTAATCTTGCTTCCCAGTTACCAATTACCTAATCACATAACATTAATTTCTTAGCATGCACTTTAGCTGCCAGAAGAAGAGATGACTTTGGTAAGGGGGCATAGCTAGTTTATTTGTTGATCTATCACTGAGTAACAAATTACAGCAAAACTTAGTGGCTTCAAAAAACACCATTAATTACTTCACAGTTTCTGTGGGTCTGGAAACTGGGCATAGTTATCAGGGTATGTCTGGCTCAAGGCTTCTCACGAAACTGCAGTCAAGGTGTTAGCCAGGATTTCAGTCATTTTAAAACACATGTGGGGAAAGATGTGCTTCCAAGCTCGTTCACCTGGCTGTTGGCAGGATTTAGTTCTTCATGGGCTGCTGCGCTAAGGACTTGAGTTCCTAACTGGCTATTAGCTAAAGGTGGTCTCTACCGTATTGACACATGAGTGTGCTCATAATGCAGCTCAAACATGACAGCCAGCTGTCTAGGAAACAGCTTGGACAGGGGATGGGTGAGGTGTTCCACATTTGGGCTTCCACAGGTGAGATGTATAGGCAAGGTACTTTAAAATATTAGTAAAATGAATCATTAAGGGGACCATGCATGGTGGCTTATTCCTGTAATTCCAGCACTTTGAGAGGTCAGGGCAGGAAGATTGCTTGAGGCCAGGAGTCTGAGAGTAGCTTGGGCAACATAGCAAGACCCATCTCTACAACAAGTACGTAAATAAAAATTTCATTTGGCATGGTAGCGTGCATCTGTTTTTCCAGCCACTTGGGAGGCTGAGATGGGAGGACCACTTGAGCCCAGGATTTCAGGACTGCAGGGAACTATAATCATGCCACTGCGCTCCAGCCTGGACAACAGCGTGAGAACCTATATCAGGAAACAACATAGTTAAGAGAAAACAGTGAAAGATGATGGCTGAACTAAAGTGTAAGAGAAGGTCTTTGGAAACTAGGAACTTCAGGAACTGGTATGATTTGGTGGGCCTTTGTGTGAATGTTAAACTCACTGTAATCATTGACAGGAATTGGAATGGACAGGAAGATTGTGAGAATAAAGGGAGTGGGTCATAAATTTAGGAAAGTGTACTTGATATGATATTAGAAAGGGACGAAGAAGAATCTGTGACCTCGCTCAGGCCTTGCAGTATATGGAGTGTGAGGGAATAAGTGGCCTCTCCTTGGGTGGGCTGCAAGAGAAGTAGTGACCTCTATGGAGAAACTGTGTTATTTCAGGCACAAAGGTTGAAGGTTATTAATTGAGGTTGTTGTGCATACAGATGAGTTTATTTGCCATAAAGTATTAACTCTAGAATTGCCCAAATTCCCTTTCAAACTGGCCTACTTGATAAAATGTTATAGTAAATCTCCTTCCTTCCATGTGTTGCTTGTCCTGTATCGCATATACCCCACTAAACAAACCTCAGACTTGTTTTCTGGGCAACTCAAGCTAGGACAAAGGGAAAGGGAAGCGTAATACTATTTATTCAAAGGGGTTTATGTGTGCATATGTATAATATACATGATGTATATTATGTATAATATACATGATGTATATTATGTATAATATACATGATGTATATTATGTATAATATACATGATGTATATTATGTATAATATACATGATGTATATTATGTATAATATACATGATGTATATTGTGTATAATATACATGATGTATATTGTGTATAATATACATGATGTATATTGTGTATAATATACATGATGTATATTGTGTATAATATACATGATGTATATTGTGTATAATATACATGATGTATATTGTGTATAATATACATGATGTATATTGTGTATAATATACATGATGTATATTGTGTATAATATACATGATGTATATTGTGTATAATATACATGATGTATATTGTGTATAATATACATGATGTATATTGTGTATAATATACATGATGTATATTGTGTATAATATACATGATGTATATTGTGTATAATATACATGATGTATATTGTGTATAATATACATGATGTATATTGTGTATAATATACATGATGTATATTGTGTATAATATACATGATGTATATTGTGTATAATATACATGATGTATATTGTGTATAATATACATGATGTATATTGTGTATAATATACATGATGTATATTGTGTATAATATACATGATGTATATTGTGTATAATATACATGATGTATATTGTGTATAATATACATGATGTATATTGTGTATAATATACATGATGTATATTGTGTATAATATACATGATGTATATTGTGTATAATATACATGATGTATATTGTGTATAATATACATGATGTATATTGTGTATAATATACATGATGTATATTGTGTATAATATACATGATGTATATTGTGTATAATATACATCATGTATATTGTGTATAATATACATCATGTATATTGTGTATAATATACATCATGTATATTGTGTATAATATACATCATGTATATTGTGTATAATATACATCATGTATATTGTGTATAATATACATCATGTATATTGTGTATAATATACATCATGTATATTGTGTATAATATACATCATGTATATTGTGTATAATATACATCATGTATATTGTGTATAATATACATCATGTATATTGTGTATAATATACATCATGTATATTGTGTATAATATACATCATGTATATTGTGTATAATATACATCATGTATATTGTGTATAATATACATCATGTATATTGTGTATAATATACATCATGTATATTGTGTATAATATACATCATGTATATTGTGTATAATATACATCATGTATATTGTGTATAATATACATCATGTATATTGTGTATATTATACATATACATAGTATATGTATTGGCATATATGTATTGGCATAATATATCCTTGGCATTCATCAGCTTGTAGCTATACCGCTTCAGCATCTACCTCTGTCTTCACATGGCTGTCTTCCCTCTGTGTCTCTGTGTCTCTAAAACTCTCTATCCTTATAACAATATAAGACATTGAATTTAGGGTATACCATAATGTAATGTGACTTACCTTAACTTGATTATATTTGAAAAGTTTATATTTCCAAATAAGGTTATAGTCACAGGTCCTCAGGGTTATTTCAACATAGTTTTTTTTTTTTTTTTTTTTTTTAGAGAATTCAACCAACTACAGGGTTATTACCAAATAATTATTAGAATGTTGACACTAATTCCTACAAACCAAAGCTTCTACTAAAATAAAGAAAGATGAGGTAGCAAGGTAACAAATGTATTACTCAGGTAAACCACCAAATCTCAGGACCTGGAAGCAGTCATGAGATTTGGTAGTTTACCTAAGTAAATAATTCCAAAGAAATTATCTCCCTAACCACAATTAAGATGGTTCTTAGATTAGGCATATCCTGCTAATGTTGTAGCTTTGCTTTGCTATTCACACTTCCGGAGCTGAAAATACCTTAGGGGCCTCATCCATTAAGGAAAACAAAAATAAAAGGGGCAGTACATCAGAGTTGTTTTCCTACTTCAAATGACTGGATTCTGAGCTTCCCCGCTATCTCAACGTTCTCTGAGGTGGAGTGCTTAGCATCCAAACAACGTGCAAATGCATACTGGGAAACACTAAGCTTCTTTCTTACCAGAAACACCACTGAGAAGAAAACAAGGGAGTTTCTCTATGTTGGCAAACGATTTGCTACACAGGATATGTGAAAGCAAAGAGATGTTGCTCCACTCTCACAGACTTCAGCACTACAAGTATGTGCTGACATGCAGACCAGCTCTCAGTTCTAAAACATAGAACCCTCTAGCAGACAGGCTATCTAGAAAAAGTACAAAAGTTGAAAGTCTTTTCACGTGGCCTCTTAAACACACATGAGTTTTGTTGTTGTTTGTTTCTTTTGTTTTGTTTTGAGACGGAGTCTCGCTCTGTCGCCCAGGCTGGAGAGCAGTGGCTCCACCTCGGCTCACTGCAAGCTCCGCCTCCCGAGTTCGCGCCACTGTCCTGCCACAGCCTCCCCGAGTAGCTGGGACTACAGGCACCGGCCACCATGCCCTGCAAATTTTTTGTATTTTTAGTAGAGACGGGGTTTCACCGCGTTAGCCAGGATGGTCTTGGTCTACCGAACTCTTGATCCGCCCACCTCGGCCTCCCAGAGTGCTGGGATTACAGGCGTGAGCCACCCTGCCAGGCCCTGTTGTTTGTTGCTTCAGGCCAACATGTTTTATTAATTTTACAACACTCTGTGCAATAATTTTTAAGGACGTATGAATATGGAGTTTACTTAGTGTAATATTTGTGTTACACCCACAAAAAATTCCAAATTGCAGATGTTTTATACCTTAAAGCTCTTTGTCACTTTTGATAATGGTTTTCCAACTTTATATATAATATTTTATTATTGTTAAAAAATTCAGCCTGATTAATTTTAGGGTCAAGAATCTATTATTAGAATTTGAATCATTTATATAAATATATGACACTATCCTGCTGTATTTTTCTTTACCACATTCTATGGACTCACTTTATTCTCTTCATTTGCATTACTGTAGTCTTCCTCTAAAGCCAAGTAAGTTTACAAATGGATCAAAAATTATTTTTGTTTTTTATTTCCTCACAGGTGTTTTTAGCTCCGTGCTTTCATCATCAGTTCATTTTGCCAACAAGCATTATCACAAACTATGTAATTGTCACATTCAACTTTATGCCATTTTTCAACTGACTCCTCATCTTCTAATACACAGAACTGAAATTCATATTTGCTTCAAACTCTGCTACTGGTCCCCCAATACTCACCGTTATTTAATTAGTTATTAATATTTTTGGTTTATGCATGTTTACCTTCCATTACAGCTACTTGTTTTCATAAGTCCTGTTCAGAACACATTTCTCAACTTCTGAACCTAAAAATGATAGTTCCTTCAAAATAATTCCTCTGTTTACAACTTCGCCTTTTCTATATGGCCTTTAGTTTCTTCATCTGTAAAATGAGTGATTAGATCAATGCTATTCAAGTCTACTACATCTTTTGTGGCCTTTTAAACTTGACACAAGCCCTCTTTGCTAAGTGATACTAGAAATTAATATTACAAAAACTCAGCAAGAAATTACATTTGATGTAAGTCCCGGTGTGGTGGCTCTTGCCTGTAATCCCAGCACTTTGGGAGGCTGAGGCGGGCAGATCACAAGGTCAGGAGATCGAGACCAGCCTGGTAACACCATGAAAGCCTCTACTAAAAACACATCTCTACTAAAAATGCAAAAATATTAGCCAGGCATGGTGGTGGGCACCCGTAGTCCCAGCTGCTCGGGAGGCTGAGACAGGAGAATGGTGGAACCTGGGAGACAGAGCTTGCAGTGAGACAAGATAGCGCCACTGCACTCCAGCCTGGGTGACAGAGCAAGACTCCATCTCAAAAAAAAAAAAAAAAAAAGAAAAAGAAATTACTTTTGATATAATAATATACTTATTTAATCATATTTGATAATGTTACTCAAATATTTCAAGTAAACAGATAATGTAAAGATAAATTTAATATGTAAGAATACATAATATTCCAAAAAAAAAAAAAAATCTGAACACCTTGGCTTACACCGTTTGACCTCACATGTTGCTGGCCTGCAGCTAAGGGTATAGTATGCAATTTGAATTTCATGTTAAAACAATTCAGTAATTTTTGTTAGTTGTAATTGATGAGTGATGGGCAATTTTATTTTTAGAGCCAAATGGAAAAATAACATCTGATTAGACAGAATCCAGGCAAAAATAAAAAATAAAAAAATAAAAGGTCATAATGTGTAAAGCAAGAAAATCTACGAACTTTGTTGTCTCTCTTCTTCTATTTCCTTCTGTTGCTATGTGAGCAAAGGGAGACAGGGGATCTTGGAGCACAGGAGCAAAGGGGAAAGGCCCAGATATTCAGGTTGATGAGAATATGCATAATGCTAAAATTACAATGAATAAACATTAAAAATATCCATTATTAGCATAACGGTAGCAATAAATACTTAAAATAAATATTTATAATGCAGAAACTTTTTCAGCATCTGAACTGAATACAATATATTGTATTTTATGATAATCTGAAAGCAGAGGGTCAGTCCAAAATTGACTCTAGTGTCAGTGTAGGAATTAATAGTAATAAATATCCAATCCATGTTTAAGTATATGAATTAGGTCTGATTAAAGCTAATAGAGGAGAAAAAGTGAGGGAAAATATTCAGTTCTACTTATTTACTAAGGAGAGATCTGGCTAAATAAGATTTATCTGCTTAACTTGTAACATTGCTTAAGTTCAATTGCTTAATTAAAATACTAATTTTTAAATAAGAAAGATGGGGTTAATTAATATCTTGTATCTCAGACACATCTCTAACCCTTAATTTTTGCTATTCACATAGGGTATGAAGGTGACCACTGATGATAGTAAACAAATTTATTCATTCATTAAATGAATCATATGGAATCAACAAAAACGTATTGCTTATCTAGATGTTGTCAGAGTTGAATCTTGAAGCATAAATAAACAATACTTATTTATTAACATGCATGGTATTCTGCTGGTCATTATAGCTGTATCTGCCTATGTGACAGCTTACAATTTTCCAGACTCATGGTATTATGGGCTGAAGTCCCAAGCCCTCCACCCATTGGTATTAAAGTCCTAACACCGTTACATCAGAATGTTACTGTATTTGGTGATAGGGGCTTTAAAAAGGTAATTATGTTAAACTAAAGCAGTTGGATATGGCCTTATTCCAATCTCACTGGTGTCCTTATAAAAGGAGGACATTTTGACACACAAGGGTACATCAGGAATGCATGAGCACAGAGATAAGACCATGTAAACACACAAAGGGTGGTCAGCCATTTGCAAGCCAAAGACAGAGGTCTCAGAAAAAAATCAAAGCTGATGATATCTTGACTTGGACTTCCAGCTTCCAGAACTTTGAAACAATAAATTTCTGTTTTTTTGATAATGTTACCAAGTGTCACCAACTGTGTGATGTTTTGCTATGGCACTAACCCACATAGCTCAAGGGCTGAAACAATCTAAAGGAGTTTCTTCAAAAATCTTTCTATTTACAGCATTATATTACCGGGGCTTTTAGCTCCAGGGAATGACTGAATGAGTTTTTGTTTCCGATCTTTGGTGACGCATTATACTATAATAATATAGTACCAAGATAGGCATTTCCATTGGCTTTCCTCTACTCTGCCTTCTGGACTTCAGCTTTATTTTCACCAGGTTGATTTTCCAGGCACTACATAGGGTCTCTCTGGGCAGCCAAAGGAGTGGGCGTCACAGCCAAGAACTAAGGTTGCTGAACTTCATTCAGACTTTCTCAGTGAGCTAGCCATCCACCAGCTGCTATGGGCTGTCTAGGGCCAGGAACGAGCTGAGCTGACCCAGCACTGGTGAGGTCCTGATAGTGAGACCTCCTGAAGTTTTGACAGCAGGCACCTTACTCTCTTCGCTTGAGTTCCAGCCCTATTGATACCACACCCCTCCCAAGCCTTTCTTGACATTCCTTCAGAGCATTTGTAGTTTTGTTGGAAAGAAACAGGCGATAGTTACAAGAGATTAGAAAAATGTGTTAGCTTTGAAAATAAGTGCTAAATGAATGATCTAAGTGAGTTCTTCTTGAGTTCAGGACATAGATTGCTTTACCTCAATGCTATAAAAATAGCTTCAGAGAGAATGGGGAGCTTGAATGACGCATAAGATTCTCACATGCTTGGAAGCTGTTATCTTCAAATAAAACAATGTAAAAAGATGGAAAATAAGTATTATCATATATAATTTAGAAACTTCAGAAACAAAAACATGGGTTAAAAGTCTGGCTATGCCAGTTACCAACTAGGTAGCATGCAGCAAATTACAAACTCTCTGAATTTCTACTTTCTCATGAGGTTGTTTAGATGATTAGAAATCACCTATATAAAATGACTGACTTTGTGCCAGGCAAGTGGCCTGGACTCACTAAACGGTTGTACACATATTAACATTGTTTCATGATTAATGCCAATCTAATAATGATCGTTTCAGCAGTCCTTATTTTAGCACTCCCATGAATGAAAGACTTCAGAAATCAAAATAGACCTCAGCAATAATTTAGTCGAGTCTCCTCATTTTCTGGAGAAAATGGATGCCCAGAGATATTAAATGACTTGGCAGAGGTTACAGAGCCAGTTGGCAGCAGAGACAGCATCAGCTACAAAACATAAAATTTTTTACTCTGGATCAGAATACATTTCATTTTAGATTCCTTTATTGAAAGCAGTACACATATCTTAAGTATTTATTTTTAAAATCATACCAATTACATATGAAGGGTGAATGAACTGAAATAGATGGAAGGACATTAAATCTAAGTGTTGTGGTAGTGCTACAGATTTACACATAGAACAACTGTGATGTAGCAGTACTTGAAAGTTTTTGGTTGTGTCTTATCAACCTAATCTTCCTTACAAGCCCTGACCCTGACTAATTTGTGGTGGTGGTTTTAAGTGGCTAATTAATAGTATCTAACACTATTGTGTAATTTTTTTTTCAGGTAAGAGCTTTGTTTTACAGGGTGCCACTTATAAGTCCCAAAGTACCAAATGAGAATGTGAGGAGGGGCACAAGTGGAACACTTGCCCTTGCAAAATGGAAAAGAGATGGGGACTCCTGGCGTGACCTTTGGGTCCCTGGTTTCAGCCAGATCTTCACTGTAGGATTTCTGGATCATTCTGAGGTTCTCGTGCTCTATTCTGAGTAACAGCATAAATTTGTGACTTGTTGTACTGGATAATTCAGGAGTTAGTTGTGCTCTTCTATTTTCAAAAATTTGAAAGTAAATAAATAAATAAACCCTCTATTAGATGCCCAATGAGACTGTTTATGTGGTGGCTTTAGCACCATGACTACCTTATCTCTTGTCAGTGTAGCCCCGCGAATGCCTCCTAGCACTGTGCTGAGTTATCTTCCATCTCTTCCAGGAGACACGGGGGCACATCAGAGTCCTATCCTTGGCCCCCTACATAAGGGCATCTCTGAAACTTCTCTCAGCATTCGCTCTCTCCTTAACAATGCCGTATCTTCATTTTACTTTTTCTGTGCCATAGGTGACCTATGTTGCCACAAACACGACATAGTGAAGTTCTTTTTCAGAGATCAAATCACAAGTGGGCAAAATTTCCCTTTAACTCCACACCTCTGACTCTGGGATTTCAGAAGAGCAGGAAAAACCTATGCTCCTTATGTTTTACTATTTTTTACTTTTTCTTTCTTTTTGTGTGTTTTGCTCTTGTTGCCCAGGCTGGAGTACAATGGGGCAATCTCGGCTCACCGCAACCTCTGCTTCCTGGGTTCAAGTGATTCTCCTGCCTCAGTCTCTGGAGTTATCTAGGATTACAGGCATGCACCACAAAGCCTGGCTAATTTTGTGTTTTTAGTAGATATGGGGTTTCTCCATGTTGGACAGGCTGGTCTCGAACTCCCAACCTTAGGTGCTCCACCCACCTCAGCGTCATATTATGTTGGGATTATAGGCATGAGCCACTGCACCTGGCCTACTTTTTGCTTTCTTCTCCACCGTGGTTTCCTTCTTCCCAGACCTCACTTGTCCATAAAAATTTTCATTTAATTTCTTCTCTGTCTACCCAAAATCCCTTCCCTTTTTGTGCCTTCTCTGCACTTTGGCTAATGTTAATTATCTACAATTTGTGTCAGATAGGCTAGGATCTTCATAGTACAAGCTCAGGCTTCTACAAACTAGTGTTTGTAGAAACTAGGGCAAATAATATATTGGTTTACTAGTCCACAGATATTTTTTCTCATACAATACCTAGTTTTATGTAGACCTAAGTGGGGCTATGTCAAAAATTTCTTGAAACTATTAAAAAATGTTTCCTTTTCACTTAGAATAAAATACAAACTTCCTACCCAAACTTGAAGGGTCTGGCTTCCCCTCCTCCTCTATCTTTCAACGTCACCTCAACCTGCTTCTCCCAGGTTCACTGTACCCTAAAAAGACATATTAAATCAATGCTCCTCCCTTTAGGGTCTTTTTTCTAATTCTATTTTTCTGAATCTGCACACCCGGTTTCTTCCCATCCTTTAGGTCTAGACTGTAGAGTTACCCCCAAAGAGGAATTTCCTAAGCTTCTGGTTGAAGGACTTAGGAGATGACCTTCCACTCTCTCAAGCAAATTATTTCTCACACAGCACCTTGGTTACTTTTCTCACAGTGCTTAAGAAAATCTGAAATTATTTTGTGCATTAATGTGCTTGTTCATTGTTTTCTGATAGTATAGAAAACACAGAGATCAAAGGTTATTCTTACCTTATTCACCATTTTATGCTTGGAACTATTAAGGTATAGTGCCTGAATAACCAGTGCTTAATAAATAACTACTAGATAAATAGTCTAATGAATGGAAGTATGTGGATCTACCAGAAGTTTTCATGACATGCACATTTCTTTATGTCCCTAAATTATTTACACTTTTGACAATACTGTGAAGACCATAATTGTAAGAACTAAAGAAAGAGGAGAGAAACACAAAGGGTAGCTTGAGAGTCAATAAGGAGAGATTTGTTTTAGAAAACAAACCTGATAGGGGCTTCTGGCCTAGTTGAGTCTGAGCCACACTCTCTTATAGGTTAAGACTTTTTAAGGATTCAGGACAGGAGAGTTTGTCAGAGGCTTGGACTGCTTCTGTGTCTCTTTGTTGTGCTTATCTGTGAGTGCAGCAGGATAATTTAGGAATCAGAGAGACAGAGAGGTTGAGGAGAATACTTATTATTTAGGTGCATCCACCCAGTCAGATTAACATCCAAAAGGACAGAGCCCCAAACAAAGAGTTCAGTTGCCTTTTAAGCATTTTGTGGGGTGGGGGTAGATCTGTGCAGGGGGGAAGCATATTACAGAAGTGAGAAACAAAGGCAGTTATTCAGTTGAGACATGCATGACATCGTTTCTTACGTTTCAAGGAAAAACATGTTTTATGCCTTGAGTTTATCTGCCTTGTGACCTTGCAGCTGCACAGCTAGAAAAACAGGTTCTTCACAATGCCTGGGAAAGGGAGAGATAAGGCTCACTAGCCACCAGAAAAACAGGCAGTTAAATTTTGAAGGACTTCAGCTCTTTCTCTTCCTCAGGGAGAATTGGGTTATCTTACCTACAACTGAGTTTTTGCCTACACATTCTTTAATTTCTTTTAATTCCTGTTTCAGGGGGTAGGGTTGTGTGTCTGTTTCCAGATATATTCCTGAAGCTGCAGACATACCCCCCGCGACTGCTTTTAGCTTCCCTATGTTAGTGCATCTGAAGGGAAAGCAATGTGCTTATTAAGGCCCACTGTTTTACTGACGTCTTCTTTATGAAGGTGAAGTTTGGCAATTACCCAAGAGACTTCCTCTCCATCTCCCTCTGTACCCCAGCTGTCTTTTCTGTGTTTTAGTGTCTGCTCTTTCTGGCTGCTAGTTGTCAGAAGACAAGTGATTTCTTTGAAATGCATGAGGTTAGAAAGGAAGCTGATCTTCAGTTGGCAGTGTTTGTCCAAGATGATGGTGCCCTTGTTCTGTCATTCCAGACCCTTTAGTTACAAAAGAACAAGAGGCAACATGTTCCTTCTGGCTACTTCCTGCTGATGCGGGGTTGGGTGCGGAAAGTTTTTTTGATCTTGGATGGACTGCAGGAGCAATACTGTCCATAGATATTTTTGGGTAGCTGTCTGTGAAATGGCCATGATTCTGTCGGTTAAAAGGTTTTGGAAAAGGTTACTGAGGCAGGGTAAGAACATTAGTCCTAGGTTTTTCAGCAGTGTTTCATATTAGGCCTGATTGGTTGAGACAAAAGCAACATTTCTTTCCCAATGACACGCAGAGGAACATGTTTGGAAAGACCCATGTGTTATTGTTTTATTAGTAACTGTTAGATTTGCTATGATGATAATAATTAAACAAAATGCTACAGTAATTGAGATTCTTTGTTTGATATTTCACCCTTAGGGTACTACAGTATATATTCCTACTGCACATAGTACAACATGCACTCCAGCCTGGGTGACAGAGCGAGGCTCCTTCTCAAAAAAAAAAAAAAAAAAAAAAAAAGTTAATATCTGGCTTAAAGGATAGGTAGGATTGATAAAAAGTACCTGGTAAAGTAGCGTTGGGACTAAGATGAGTAATTTTCACTTAATTACTTATATTTTATTATTTTCAGCTTAAAATTTCTTTTTTTTACGTTGATATTTAGGATGTTTTTAATGGGCTGCTAGGAGCTGCTTTCTCAGCTCTTTCAGCTTTGACTTGAGTGTGTAGTATCTAGGAGTTGATTTCTGTAATGAATATAATTTAAACTGTAGAAAATAATAAAAATTGAAAAACATTAGGCAGACTAGAATTTAGCAACAGGTGCGCTATAGTTTTTGAAACATAATTTTCTCTCTTCAATTTCCCATTTTTATTAAAAGAAAAATCATGGTAGGACAGCTTTCCTTTATTATACTTGGCTTAATTAGTTTTATACAGTGCAGCAAAAATAAGTATTTGCTACACATGACTTTTAAGTCAGCTTTGATGGAATTTTGTGTTATAGAAGGAATTTGAGATGAGACTTTTTAAGGCCCAGCCCAGCCATGGATTTCTATCATTAAATACCTATGAGTTGGGTGAATTCCTCTCCTCTTGAGGTTTTAAGATAACATGCATTTCCTGGCCTGTCAGAAAGTGACATTCTATACTTACCACAGATCAGAAACCTTATACAAGGACTGTGTACACAAAATATGAGACCAGTTTTCCAAGGGCTTTATTGGCTTCATAAGTTAAGTTTTATTCACTAAAGGAGAGCATACCATTCCTGTCAAAGCCTTGGTAAAATAACCATCTTTTCCAACTGTGTTTTCTTACAAAAGAAAATACATTCTTATTGCACTGATGCAAACAACTATATTGCTGTAGTTTAAGAATACTTATAACTAGTTTTCAAATTATAGAGGAACTAGGGAGAGAGAAGCAAACCAATTTTAATTTCCATTTACAGAAATATGCTTTACTTAGCTGTTAAAGGCTGTAGCTAGCTTAAGGCAAGTTTTCTTAACTCTGAAACATAAGACACAGATTAGCAGTGTTCTAAGCAAAAGGATAAAAACTTGTTTGTGTTTTTTGTTAATTTAATCCATTTTGTTTTGGTTGATATTTATAACCATTTTAGCTTTTCATGTCTTCTGTAGTTCTGTTGTTGTTTGTTGTTGTTGTTGTGAAAACCCTCCTTTGAGAGCAACTGTTAAAGTTTTACAGCTTGGTAATAAACCATCTTTTGAAGAGAATTTAAACAAAGTAACCATTGTCTGTAAATACCAAAATGTCCAGTTTGGATACAGTCAGAAACATAGTTGACAAAGAAATTTGGTCATTGTGGTTCACAATAACCCAGCATAACAACTTTAATTGTGATTAATAGCACATATTTAGACACTAGAACCTTAGACATGGCATACAGCTTTGGAACATGTTATAATATTATTCCCTAAAATATAACCTATCAGACACTATTTTGGCAATTTTATGTACCTAAACATGTTAAATAATCATGCTTACCATATTTTCCAGACGTTCTACCCTTTCGAGATTAGTTAATATGTTTACACACAGAGTTTTCTTTATAGGATTATAATTTACAATGTTTTCACAATTTTCTTAAACAGTCCACTTTATTTTATTTAACTTTAAGACAACTTTTTTATTCTTAAGCAAAATACATAGTTATGCCTTATAATTTTTAACTAAAACCACTTTTTACCATTTTTATACACTTTTATGCAAATCCATGTTTAGCAGTAGTGGGCGCCTGTATTCCCAGCTACTCCAGAGGCTGAGGCAGGAGAATGGCATGAACCAAGGGAGCGGAGCTTGCAGTGAGCTGAGATCGAGCCACTGCACTCCAGCCTAGGCGACAGAGCCAGACTCCGTCTTAAAAAAAAAACAACAAAAAACTTATTTTGATAAACATGGCTTATGATACTTGATAATAAAATTAATAAAGATGTTGTTTTTATAAACATCAAATGTGAATAGCTGTTGTCATGGTTTAAAATGTCAAAGAACAGCCTTTGAAAATTAAGATACTGATAACAGACATGTCCTGTGTTTGCTATTCAATTTAAGACCAAGAACAATGCCTAGATGGATCCCTTAAGTAACGAAATTTTGAACTGTGCAATACAGCTTAGTGTATTTTGGAATACAATGGTAGGAGAAAATACTTAAGAATTTAAACTTACACCATAAACAGTACTGGTACATCTCAGCACAGCCAACTGGGACATCTAGCAAAAGCACACGCACATAATGAGACCTCACAATTTTGCTTCAACAGAAGAATAAAGTAAAATGGCAGTATACACAGTGTTACTTTGCTTAGCATTTTCCTTAAAAATATTTGATTTAAGCGCTTTCTTTTCTTAGGACAATTAATTCATTAGAGTTCTTTTTAATAGACATAACTTACGTAAGACATATATAGCCTCACAGGCAACCAGAAGAAGATTCAATAGTCATACAATTTCCATTTGCTAATTTCCAGATTAGATTATTGGCCTCTGGGTGAGGCCCTTTAAGAGCAGGGCTAGGTAAACAAATTTTAGGGCCTAATAAACAAGCATAGCTGGAAGACAAATAAAGATTTTTGAGAGGTACTTCTTCACCTTTAATTCCAGGGGTTCCATAAGGAAAAGAGTTATTTTTTTCAAGATGGATTTCTGGCAAGTTTTCTATCTTTCTAGGGAGTTCTAGGCCACCAGACTGGGGTCTTTTATGCATGCAGCAAGAGTTGCAAGACAGAGTGAAGAGAAGTAATTTTGACTGAGATAAAACTTTTTTCAGGAAAACAAGATTTATGAAGAGAAAAACATAAAACCCTTTTGAATATACTTATAGCTTTGATATCCATTTTAATTAAGCTGAGCACTGTTTTTTATTAAAGGTAAGGGTGGAGATTAGAATTATGTAAATGTTCTGCCAAGTTAAGAGACTGGGTTATGTGCAGGAATTTCCTGCAATAATGAGAGTGATTTTTCGAGAAAAGTTCCAGAAGCTGTTCAATTTGCCACAAATTAGACATGGAGAAGGGGGCATGAATGCAAGGACTGCCTTTAACCCTAGCCACTTTCCAGAAAGGGAGAATGGCAGAGAAGGTTTAACCAGTTAGAGTAGTTTTTGAACAGGTAGAGGAGGAGGAGGGGTGGGATTGATGATAGAAGAAAGCCTGAATATGGGGACATCTCTTGTCATTTGCCATTTCTGGTAGTAAAGTTGTTAAGGCCATGTTGCAGGAGAAAATTAAATGCTTTGGCATTAAGGTCTGCCATAAGCCAAGTTTGCCTTGGTTGCTAATACTGCAGTCCAGTGGGAAGGATGTAGGGACGTGAAATTGTTTGGCACCCATGTGGACTGCTAAGAGGAAGCTGGTGGTGTCTGTTTTGTTCTAGGCATCCCCAGACAAAAGACAGAGACCCAGAATCCTCTTTCCAAAAGAGGACCGTTAACCTGAGAAGGAGCTGTGTACCAATATTTCCTCTAGCCCAGCCCCATTAGTCCGATTGGACCTCCCAGGACCTGGACAGCAGGCCAGACTTTCTCCGGTACAGAGAGAAAGCCAGGAGAAGGCAGATCTCACTGGTCATCTGAAATAGTATCTGATGTTGGATGTTCTGGCTGGAATTGGCAAAGGGCCTCCCATACTGTAGCCATTTGAGGAAGAGAGAGAGAGAGAGAGAGAGAGAGAGAGAGAGAGAGAGAGAAGATGGAGAAAGAGGGGGCAAGGGAGGGTTAGCGAGCAAAATACCCAATGCAGGTGGTCAGAGGTGGATTCCCGAGACCTGAGTGTTTTAGAGCCCATGGGGAGTAGCCTCAGCCTGAGCCTCACAGCCCCTTCAAGTTAGTTGTCCTGCTCACACAAATTACTTGAAAAGTGAAGTGAGAGATAAGATTGGGCGTGTGGCCAGAGGCTTTTAGGATACAGGAGTTAACTCAGGATGAGCTGCCATTGCCCACTGCTTCCTGGGTTGCAAGACAGCCTCTTCTCCCAACACCAGTCACAGGTTTTGGCACCAAATGTAAGAAATGAAGGAAGAGGAAAGAAAAACAAAAGGTGGCTTGGCAGTCAAGGACAGGCTGATTTTAAAGAAAACAAACCTGAGAGTGTTTTCTGGCCGAGTTAGTTCAAGAGACAGTCTCTTACACACTAAGAGTTTCTCAGGATTCAGGGTGGAAGAGTATACCAGAGACTTGGACTGTTTCTGTGTCTCTTTGTTGTGCTTATCTGGGAGAGAGAGTTGTGTGTCTGTTCCCATATATCTTCCTGCAGCTGCAGGCATACCCCCTGAGACTGCTCTCCTGTATCATCTCTCTCAAGTTCAAAGTTTCACACATCTGCCGGGCAGGGGCAAAATGATACCATTCTCTTTGCTCAAGCATAGCAAGAGTCACCTTTGGTGCAGTTCCCAACAAGTTTCTCCTCTCCATCTGAGACCACCTGAGCCTGGACCTATTGTTCATATCACTATCAGTATTTTTGTTGAAGCCATTCAACAAGTCTCTAGGAAGTTCCAAACTTTCCCAAATTTTCTCTCTTTTTCTGAGCCCTCCAAACTGTTCCAATATCTGCCTGTTACCCAGTTTCAAAGTCTCTTCCACATTTTCAGGTATCTTTTCAGCAGCTCCCCACTCCTTGTAACAATTTACTGTATTAGACTCTTTTCATGCTGCTGATAAAGACCAATGCTCATTGAAAAGTTTAATTAATACATGAGTATATAATAAAAAATAAAAGTTATTCACCTATCATCTTTATTTGCTCTCCTAGAGGGCGTAACTGAGAAGTCCTTATGTAAGCTTCCATGAGTTTTCTTTGATATACATTGACACATTTATACCAATATGCATGAATACATAAATGTATATTTCTAAGCAAAAACTATATCATAGAATACATATTTTTGTTAAACCAAAGTTTTAAAGTTAATAATTTTATAAATATGCATGTTCTTAAATTATTTTAAAATTAAATTATTAGAATAAGTAATATAGATAATAAATTGTATAATAATTATTGAAATATTCCCTTTTCTTTCACTGCTGAATGGAGAATTAAAGCAAAAACCAAAACCTAGGCATGGTTCAGATGAAACTGTGTTAAATTTTAATTTGAGATTTATTTTAAATTCTAGTATTTATCTGTTTGTCATCCAAGTTGACAAATATGAGATGGGGATGGCAAGATACTGATTCAGCTGGTTTCTGATAACCTGTCATGATAACTTTATTTGATTCTGTAGTAAAGGTTGCCCACACAATAGTGTTATGGATAGTAGCAACAGTGGAATCAATGAGTTGTGTTTTATTAAAATATCATTGTAGTTTTAAATGAGACAGATGTTAATTTTTCTCTTCTATGCAATTCTAAGCTGATGTGGTAACTCAAACCCTCAAAGTTTTCAGAAACCTACATTCCCTCTATTTTGTTGTTCTGTTATCCTCAACAGGCATCTTATGGTGCAAGAAGGCTGTTCCAACTCCTGCAGTCATGACCGCATTCTGGTTAGCCAGATGATTTATAAGGACAATGGAATGACCGTTTCCTCCTTTGAAAGGGACAGCCCAGAAGTGGCACAAACATTTTCTGATATATTGCACCAGACAAAAATTTACCACATGGTTATATCTGACTTCAGGCAAAGCTGGTATATAATGTAGCCAAAAATTTTGAATAATTCTTATGAAGTGTATGATTTTATGAAAAAAAATAGTGTCTAAAAGATTTGAGGATTAAAAAGGAGTTGCGGAACCTGAGGCTCAATAGTAATTAAATGATTTACCCCCCATGCCAGTTCCACCATGCTCAGGCTTTGGTATTTCAGGTTTTTTGGAGTTTTCCAGTCTTTACACTTTTAAGGAAAAGACTAGCATATCTACCTGACTTGTTTTACTGCAGTGAGAAGCTATGTAAAATTACATCAGATATTCATGGAAACTAAATCAGGATATTTTTCTAAGATGGGTGATGTCAAAATCAAATACTTTGGTTCTGTCTACTGGAGGTTGTCCTTGTCACACTATTTTCTGATCTTATGATTGACAAGTTACATTGCTTAATGTCCACCGCACTCATCTTTAACTTGAATTGTTATTTCTCTCAGTCCACTGGTTTGCTAAGTCAGCATTGAAACCCAAGGATAGTTTGGTATGTGCTTGATGTGGTTGAGTGAGTTTTGGGAACTATAAAGACATGGAAGTGGAACTGTCATTTCTCAGGATTATTACATTCTCAGGTGGGCAATATGCCCTGACATTAAAACCCAGACACATTTTCATCATGGCTAATAATGGTGTACCTAGCTGGTGGGTAATTGCAGGCTTTCAACCTCCAGTTCATCTTCATGAGATCAATGTTGATTCAGAACAATAAGTGTCAGGTCTATGACACCTTTAAAGTTATGCTTAAATGTGAGTCTGTGACCACTAATGAATGACTACAGTTGTTTCATGACTTGCTAAACATACCTGGTTTTTCACAAGCAATAGATTTTTGAAGGAGAGGTATTCACAGTGGGTGCTAGGAAGATACACACATTAATTCTGTAGAATTTAGCTAAAATGTGTTCAGCCTAAGGGATGACATTAACAGAGACTTGTGATCCTGCTTTGCATCTCATGAGTGCTGAGCAGTTGGTAGAGATGGATGGTATTTTCCATATATCAGCATCTGCTGTATGCTCAGGCTTTGCTCCTGTTAAGGGAACTAGGGCTCTCTAGCCTTTTCAGAGATTCTGTGAGATTATGTACTTTATTATTATTATTTTGTCTAATCTAATCAGACTAGATTCTTGTATTTCGAACTAAGAACTCAGAATATATCCATGACCTTTGGTTAAAAAGCTTAAAGGGAAAGTAAAATTCATTTATTCGTTGAACAATTTATTTAGTATTTCTTATTTATTAGTGTTCTGTCTCCTGAATAAATAACTCATTTTAAGTGTTTATTGAGCACCAATTGCACATAAACTATTGTATTAGTTTTGTGGGAGAAAAAAATAAATAAACTAAATATCCCTCCCTCAAGGAATGTTTGTAAAGTTGATTAACTATGCTAGAAAATAGAAAGTGAATGGTGCTATGAGATACAGAGGTATAGTAGTATTATGAAGGTTGAATGGAGAAAGAGATTAAATACAGCAGAAGACAATTATTTCTATCAGAGAAGAGATGACATAGGAGATGAAGAAGAAAGATTTAAAATGATTTTTACAGAAAGATGAAGAGATACATAACTCTTGAGTAGAGAAGGCAAGAAGAAGAGAAACTGTATGGACAGTATGAGCTAAATGTGAAAACAGAATTTTTTTTGGCTGGGTGCGGTGGCTCATGCCTGTAATCCTAGCACTTTGGGAGGCCGAGGCAGGTGGATCACCTGAGGTCAGGAGTTTGAGAAAAGCATGGCCAAAATGGGGAAACCCCATCTCTACTACAAATAGAAAAATTAGCCGGGTGTGGTGGCACATGCCTGTAATCCCAACTACTCGGGAGGCTGAGGCAGGAGAGTTGCTTGAACCTGGGAGGTGGAGGTTGTGGTGAGCCGAGATTGTACCAGTGCACTCCAGCCTGCACCATGGGATCGAAACTCCATTTAAAAAAAAAAATCTGTGCACAAAGAAATGGGCAATGCATTGACTCGGTGCAAAATATCATAGATGAGGTAGTGAACATGTTTAGGAATATATTCACATTTTCAAGAAGACAGCTAGTTTCCCTATTGAAATCCCTGGCATACAGGAGCAAACAGCATGAAATAAAGAAAAGTTCTATGTTTTTAGAAATAGGTATCCAACTAATACACATAAAAATTGTCTTTATGGAGTAAAATGCATATTTAATCAATCTAATCAAACACAACCTCAGCTAAATTCTTCTCTAAGATATAGACACACCTGCTAAGCAAAAGGGATAAGATATCTTGTCTCTAGGAAACAACAGAAGTTAATTAGCTTCAAAAATACTTTATATTTGCAATTAAAAATAATTTTAAATCCACAGTAGCTATGGTTCTCATTAGAACATAGAATATTGTGATGCCTTGGACTATTTTATTAAAAATGGCAATATTTGGTCCTTATCTCAAACTTTGTGTTCAGGTATATAGCTGATTAATAATGTAGTTTATTAAGAAATATTTTTTGCATATTACTGTGAAATCACAGTGTATGAAATGGACTAATAAAGCCTATAATGACCAGGAAAATATTACTTACTGCAAAGATAATATAAAGTTCAGTTCTTTTATCTATAGTTTTATTGTTAAGTTACATATATAGATAAATGATAGACAGACATCAACACACACATGACTGTTTACAAATTACGGAGGTTACAAATCTAAAACACGTGATTTTTATCTCAAAATAATAAAGATTAAAATGTTAGCAATGTTCATCCATTGGTCAAAACTTTGCATTCTTGTCTTGGATTCTTGCTTATATTCATCAATTTTAATCTGGATCTAAACACTTAAATAAATGAAAATAACATATTAAATAAATTTGTTTATGCACTGCACTTCATTTCTAACGATTTCTCATGAGATAGTGGAATGCATGATGACATATAATTTATGATATTGTTCTAGTGTTTCCATGCCCAAATTAAAGTCAATAAAATTTTATAATAGAAATACCCAAAATGAAGAATGATGATGAATTGAGCACTGATATTAAAAAGATTAAAAATGGTGCAACTTTTTATAAGCAAATTAGATCTATGTTTTAAGAACTTTATATGAAGTCTTACATGTATCTGCATTATACTCAGAGGTATAAATAAATCGTTAACTTCTTTATTATGTCTTCAAGTTACCTGATGTTCCTCCTGAGCATCTCGAACCTCAAGATAGGGAAAAATTGTATTCAATAAATCAAGTAAATACATAACAATGACTGTGTATTAACAAAAAATTAAAAATAAAAAAGAAATCAAGTTGTCTTAGTTCAATGCAATAACAAAAATAGTCACTTAAGCACAACACTCAAATGCTGAGTTTTCTCATTTCACTTCTTTCTTTTCTTATCCAAGATGGTATCTCATGTATGAGATGAACTTTACTAATAATACAGGCAAATGGGGAGATGTTGGTTGAGAGTGTATTGAATCTATAGGTAAATTTAGGAAAATTTTAAATCTTAAAAATATTGCTTTTAATCTGTGAACATGTTATATTTCTCCTATTATTAAATAATTTTTAATTTATCTCAATAATGTAGTTTTGGTAAAACATCTTGTAATTACATTTAAATCTATATATTACACAATTTGCATAAGAATATAAATTCCATATTTTTAGAAATTTATTTTTGAAATTTTCTTTACTGTTATAGAGAAATGAAATGGGGGATGACCTCCACTTTTCCCATTTTACTGTAAGTCTTTGAGTAAAGGAGTGACTCCTCAACCTTATTGTATCCACAACACTAAACAGGATATGTAAGCCAAATAAAATTTTGTTGAATAAAAGACATAACACTTTATGGGTCCACATATACATATGCATCCAGAAAACTCACTTCTGCATTTTGTGTCTGCTCCTTCTTGTGACTTTAAACAGTAAGTCCTCAGCAACAGCGTCTTCTCATCCTAAAATGGATATGATATGTCCCAAATGCATAATGCTAAATTATTTGATCATAAATTGGGAGTCTCCACTCTCAATCCTAAAGACAAGCATTATCTCCAATACCAAACACTTGAAAAAAGTGTAATGAGATTACATTTAGATATTGTTCAGAAGCCAAAACCACAAATAAGGCAACAATTCTCAAAGTTTAATTTTCTCAAAAAGGTTCTTTTTAAAAAATTATTATTATACTTTAAGTTCTGGGGCACATGTGCAAAACATGCAGGTTTGTTACATAGGTATACACCTGTCATGATGGCTTGCTGCACCCATCATCCCATCATCTACATTAGGCATTTTTCCTAATGCTATCCCTCCCCTATACCCTGCCACCAACAGGCCCCAGTATGTAATGTTCCCCTCCCTGTATCCGTATGTTCTCATTGTTCAACTCCCACTTATGAGTGAGAACATGTGGTGTTTGGTTTTCTGTTCTTGTGTTATTTTGCTGAGAATGTTGGTTTCCAGCTTCATCCATGTCCCTGCAAAGGACATAAACTCATCATTTTTATGACTGCACAGTATTCCATGGTGTATATATGCCATATTTTCTTCATCCAGTCTAAAATTGATGGGCATTTTTGTTGGTTGCAAGTCTTTGCTATTGTGAACAGTGCCATAATAAAATACATGTGCATGTGTCTTTATAATAGAATGATTTATAATCCTTTGGGTATCTACCCAGTAATGGGATTGCTGGGTCAAATGGTATTTCCACTTCTACATCATTGAGGAATTGACACACTGTCTTCCACAATGGTTGAACTAATTTACACTCCTATCAACAGTGAAAAAGCATTCCTATTTCTCCACATCCTTTCCAGCATCTGTTGTTTCCTGACTTTTTAGTGATCACCATTCTAACTGGCATGAGATGGTATCTCATTGTGGTTTTGATTTGCATTACTCTAATGATCAGTGATGATTAGCTTTTCTTCCCATGATTGTTGGCTGCATAAGTGTCTTCTTTTGACTAGCGTCTGTTCATATCCTTCCCTCACTTTTTGATGAGTTTTTTTTTTTTCTCACAAATTTGTTTAAGTTTTTTGTAGATCCTGGGTATTAGTTCTTTGTCAGATGGATATATTGCAAAAATGTTCTCCCATTCTGCAGGTTGCCTGTTCAATCTGATGATAGTTGCTTTTGCTGTGCAGAAGATCTTTTATTTAATTAGATCTCATTTGTCAAATTTGTCTTTTGTTGCCATTGCTTTTGGTGATCTAGTAATAAAGTTTTTGCCCATGCCTGTGTCCTGAATGGTATTGCCTTGATTTTCTTCGGGGGTTTTTATGGTTTTAGGTCTTACGTTTAAGTCTAATCCATCTTGAGTTAATTTTTGTATAAGGTGTAAGGAAGGGGTTGTTACAATTTTCTGCATATGGCTAGCCAGTTTTCCCACATTTATTAAATAGGGAATCCTCTCCACATTGATTTGTTTCATCAGGTTTGTCGAAGATCAGATATTTGTAGATATTAGATATTTGTGGTGTTATTTCCGAGGTCTCTGATCTGTTGCATTGGTATATATGTATATGTTTGGTACGAGTACCATGCTGTTTTGGTTACTGCAGCCTTGTAGTATAGTTTAAATTGAGTTACCATGATGCCTCCAGCTTTGTTCTTTTTGCTTAGGATTGTCATGGCTATGTGGGCTCTTTTTTGGTTCCATGGGAAATTTAAAGTAGTTTTTCTAATTCTGTGAAGAAAGCCAACAGTAGCTTGATGGGGATAGCTTTGAATCTATAAATTACTATGGCAGTATGGACATTTTGACAATATTGATTCTTCCTATCCATGAGCATGGAATGTTTTTCCATGTGTGTGTGTTCTCTCTTATTTCTTGGAGTGGTGGTTTGTAGTCCTTCTTGAAGAGGTCCTTCACATCCCTTGTAAGTTGTATTTGTAGGGATTTTCTTCTCTTGGTGGCAATTGTGAATGGGAGTTCACTCACCATTTGGCCCTCTATTATTTGGGTATAGGAATGTTTGTGATTTTTGCACATTGATTTTGTACTCTGAGAGTTTGTTGACGTTGCTTCTCAGCTTAAGGAGATTGTGGGCTTAGACGATGGGGTTTTCTAAATACGCAATCATGTTATCTGCAAACAGAGATAATTTGACTTCCTCTCTTACTGTTAGAATGCGCTTTATTTCTTTCCTCTGATTGCCCTCACCAGAACTTCCAATACTATGTTGAATAAGAGTGGTGAGAGGGGGCTTCCTTTTCTTTTGCAGGTTGTAAAATGGAATGCTTCCAGTATTTGCCTATTCAGTATGATATTGGCTGTGGGTTTGTGATAAATAGCTCTTACTATTTGGAGATACTTTCCATCAAGACCTAGTTTACTGAGAATTTTTAGCATGAAGACGTGTTGAGTCTATTGACATATTTATGTGGTTTTTGTCATTGCTTCTGTTGATTTGATGAATTATGTTTATTCATTTGCCTATATTGAACCAGCCTTGCATCCCAGGGATGAAGCTGACTTGATTGTGGTGGATAAGCTTTTTGATGTGCTGCTGGATTCGTTTTGTCAGTATTTTATTGAGAATTTTTGCATCGATATTCATCTGGGATATTGGCCTGAACTTTTCTTTTTTCTTGTGTCTCTGCCAGGTTTTGGTATCAGGGTGGTGCTGACCTCATGAAGTAAATTAGGGAGGAGTCCCTCTTTTTCTATTGTTTGGATTTTTTTTTTTTTTTTTTTTTTTTTTTTTGAGATTGAGTTTCACTCTGTTGCCCAGTCTGGACTGCAGGGGCATGATTTTGGCTCACTACAACCACTGCCTCCCAGGTTCAAGTGATTCTCCTCCCTCAGCCTCCAGAGCAACTAGAAATCCAGGTTCATGCCACCACATTCAGCTAATTTTTGTATTTTTGGTAGAGATGGTTTTTTGCCACGTTGGCCACGAGGGGGCTGGAACTCCTTACCTCAGGTGATCCACACACCTTGACCTCCCAAATTTCTGAGATTACAGGCATAAGCCATCGCGCCAGGCCGGTACTCTTGTTTCAACTGAAAGAAAGAAATGTGCTGTCATACTTTACTCCTGTGAGAAAGTCCAACAGAGAAGGAATCTAATAACATCCCAATTTCCAACTGATTTCAATAAACATTTTACATAATCTAAGAAATAGAAAGTGCGAACAAATTTGTCATGAGCATTAAAGTGAGCCAGCCTCCCAGCTACTCAGGAGGCTGAGGCAGGAGAGTGGCATGAACCCGGGAGGTGGAGCTTACAGTGAGCCCAGATTGTGCCAATACCCTCCAGCCTGGGTAACAGAGCGAGAATCCGTCTTAAAAAAAAAAAAAAAAAAAAAAAGTGAGCTAGTTTCTATGTGCTAATTCAAATCAAAGATTTGGCCTCACTGGCCTAACTCCTTGGAATGAAGTATCTGCCAACTGTCAAAAGTCAGGCTACATGAGCTTCAGAGGCCTGCAGAGACCTCTGAATGACTTTGCTATGGAGAAGAGTCACACTCTCCAGGGCCTCCTCTCTGCTAAGAGCTGAACACTCAACTGGAAAGCCTGCCTACAGAGAGGAGCAAACCGTTCCTTTGAACTGTACTAACACTGAACAAAATGTTTCTTCTTGTTCAACATTCACTTCTCTGCTACCTCATTCTACCTCATTCTTCCTGACACTGGACAAGATCTTGGACAAAGGAGTCACAGCCACAGACGTTTCTGGCTAGAAAAAAAAAAACAACAACCAACACTCTAGAGATCGGTAACAATAAAACAGAATTTCTAGTTCTCAAATTAAAAAAAATGAAGTTAAGATAATAGATAATACATTCATTAGTTTACAAAAATAAAAACTAATAGTAGCATCCACTGTTGATGAAATTGTAGGTTCTAGAAGGAATGTGATTACTACAAGGTTTTCGGAAAGTAATTTGGTATTTAAATAGTTATAATTTTATTTAATATTACATAAATTTAGTATTTAAATAATTTCAATACATGGTACTTACAGCACTTGGCCCAGTTTTCACATTTTGTACCACTTATTAAATACAAATAAAATTACCAGGATTAAAAGATAAATATGCCATCATGTTTATTGTATCATTGTTATTAATACTAAAGATTTGGAATTATAGAATTTTTCTCAAAATTAGAAAGATTAAATGGTACATCCATTGAAACCTTGGTATAAATATAATATTGATTATTATGTAACTATTAATGCAAATAAGATTGATATATGTGTTCCTTTGGAAGAAAATCTAAAATATATATTTTAGCAAAAGCGAATTATACAATATGCATGTATTGTGTGTGTACATGGATGTATGTATAGCAGTTTCACTTTCATAAACATGAACATAATCTTTGCAAATGTTTTATATGCAAAATTAACTTCGTGAAAATTATTGCCAAACTGCTGTTGGTGCTTATATTTGAAACTGGAAGAAGAAAAGAAGTTTATTAATTTATTTTCCACACATCTACTTATTTTCAAATGTTACAATGATTAATTTTTTGTAAGAGCACTGAGAAACCAACAAGCACTTCTAGTTTTTAATTTTACAGTAAAATGTAATTTCATTGGTATGCTTACAACAATATTGTGAGTATTAATATATGTTTTTACTTATAAAAAATTGAGTTTCATAAAGGTTAAATGACATATATAATGACACATATCAGAAAGTGCTAGTGCCACGACTCAAAAACTATTCTATTTGTGGTTCCAATTCATATACTTTCCAATTTATCTCATTATTTCTTGACTGTGTGTATGTAAATGTGTGTGTAAATGTTGAATTTTTCAGATGAATAAATTTGTGTAACAAATTGGATATAGATTAATTCAGTTCATGTTTTTTGATGTGCAGACCAAGGAATTGAGTAAAAGCCATATATCTCAGAGAATCACAAAGGTGAGAGAAATCGTACCAGTTTCACAACTTTTTTTTTTTTTTTTTTTTTTTGTAGAGAAAACCTGGGACCAAGTAGGGATGATTTTTCAGCTTACTGTAGTAAAAAACAAGAGCTTTGCATTCAGGCAGTAGCAGCATCTGTTTCCAACTGAGTCTTTTACTAATAGTGGCATGCACTGCTAAATATCCAAACGCCACTATCAACCACTCAAGACAAAACACCAAAGATTTATCCTCAATTTCTTCCTTCCTTAAAACTTTACATCAAATCCATAATTAAGTCTGCTAAACTTAGTTTCAGAATATTCCCAGTCAGACTATATTCTGCTCTCAATATCCACTGTAAATCCAAGCCACCATTATATTTTGCTTCATCTACTGCAATAGCTTCCCTAAAATTAACACTTTCTTACTTTTGCCTTCTTATATTTATTCTCTGTAATATTCCCTTTTAAAAATATATATCTTATATTAAGTCATTCTTCTTAAGGGATGTTTGTGGAGGATATGTCGCAGAAAGAAACTACTCGCTTTACCAGCATCCAAGATGAGGCTCATGTCCAGTGCTCTAGCCTCATATCTCAGGCCCACCCCTTATTCCAGAGTAAATAGTATTTTATTCAAGTTGCCCATATTTTCAAGTTCTGTCTTGGTTCAGAGCTTTCTCCCTTTGCTTTTTCCCATACTGTTTTCTGTTAGTCTTCTCAGAGCTGACACTTTCTTCTTTTCAGGTCTTAGATTACGCTTTATTTTCTCACAGCTCTGGACATCAGAATTGTGAAATGGGTTCAGCAAACTATAATCAAAGTGTAGGCATGGCTGCATTTCTTCTAGAGTCTCTACGAGAGAGTCCATTCCCTTTTTTTTTTTTCTAGCATCTAGAAGTCATACTGCCCACCACATTCTTGAACACTGACCTTATTGCCTTCTCCAAGTCTTACTAAAAACATCTACTTTTGAAATTTCTCAGATATTGAATTATCTCTGCTGATACAGCCTTTTTATCTTTTCTTTTAAGTCCTTGAACACAATTTTAAGAAATGTTTTAAGGCCCTTGTGTGTGAATTCCAACATTTGGGTCATGCAAGAGTCTGATTTCTTATTTATCTCTCCTATGTCAATATGCTCCTGTTTCTTTATACATGTAATAACATTTTTCTGTGAACTGCAGTTGCATGTTTAGATAAGGGATTTGTTTTCTTTCTCTGAAGAAGGTTGGCATTTGCTCTATCAGAAATTGTTGGCTAGTGATATTGATGTTGTAGAACCTTTGTCTTATTCTTTACTGGGATGAGACTGTTTGGATTTTATCCTTATTCTCATTGTGAACTCTTTATTCTTAGCATCCAGATTTTCTTCCTAAAGTGTATCCTTTCTGCAATTTCAATAGGAAGCCAAAGGTTTTTGTCTACTCTCTCTATCTTAGTAGGACTCAAACTCCACTACCCTGACTAGAACTACCAGTAGTTTGAGTTTTCTAACAGGTGTTGCCTCTCACAAGAGGGCATTAGCTGTGGGCGTCTGCCTGCAGACCCTGGCCCAAACAACAGATGAATAAAATGTACACTGACACACAGGTATTCTGTTTTGCTAGTCCTGCTGTGTCTGACTGCCTGCACACCAAGACAGGTTTGTCACTGCAGCAGACCCTGAGCAGCTAGCACTCCAGGCATTTATTTAGTATACAATTACCAACAGAAGCTTTGAGTAATTACACTTGAGGATAATGAACTTGGTTAAGACAGTAGTTCTATGAATGATTAAAGCTCAGGTACTGTAGTCTAAGTGAATACCATTAGGGGACAATATCCTTGGTCCACCTCCCCCTGAGAGGGCCATTTGGTACAAAGGTTAGTTAATGGAGGTAGGATAAACAGACTTAACTGGGGAAGCCTCAATTGTCCCTTGTATTTACCCTATGACATAATGTTCCAAGGTAAGAACTAGCTGCCTTCAATCTGTTCAATTATTACAAGCTAGGTAACCTTTTGGCCTTACGAAAGGTTTGTGACTATTCCCTAGAACTTCCCCTAATATTTCCCTTTACTATTTCTGCCACCATCCTGAGTGAATCCCAACATTTCCCCATTTTTGTTTTCTTTATTAGGGTTTTTTGATTGCAGAGCACAGATATGTGCAGCCACAGGATTTTCAGATGAGGCAGTCACTGCTCTTATTTAGACTTTGCATCCTAGGATTAGCAAATAACATAAGACAAACATGAGCATAATTAGCAAAAATCTTTTCCAGTCAAAGAGTATCCCCCAGGAGTTAGGGTCCAAGTAGGAGAGATGATCTTGTACTCCCTTCCACATGGCTGTTGGGTGTGCAGATCTGTGGTGTGAACAGATTTTAAAATTTTAGTTTTAACTTGCTTCATGTCTGCAGTTAAACTGTTATAAAAGGTTCCCCAGAGGTGTTGTTTCACCTCACCCTAGCTATACATTAATTGGTTCCATGGTAGAGAAGTGACACAGGTATGTTTATGTTGCCATTCACATTTTCACTGTTGACAGAATGCTAGTGCATCTTGTGGCTCTCCCGCATACTCTTTCCTTACTGTAGGAGAAGTTCATCACATATATTTTTGGCCAGATTATCTACAAAAGCAGTTGTTTGTACTGATTCAGTAATAGATACAACAGCAATGCTAACAGTTGCCATAATGTCTATGGCTGAGCCTGTAAAGACCATAAGTGTAAATGTGAATCTTTTGTGTCTGACCTGGGACAGGGCACTTTCTAAGGTGGCAAGGGCAGAAGAATCTTGCCAATTGCATGTCAAATTGGCTGGTAGAAGTGCCTCAGATTGTCTCCTTAATACCACGACACTGGAAGTTTTTAAACTAGACATATCATGACCAGTGATACATGAGGCAAACCAAGCCTGTCCCTGCACCCGGGTCACAAATGTGGCATTTCCAGGTGTAATGGAAATGTTAGTTCCTGTAAGGAAAACATATGGATGGGTAGTGCAAACCAGGCACTGATCAGTGTGAGTATGAATAAAGGCTATAGTGTAGTTGAGCCTGGAATTATGATATCTCCCATAGCAGGTGTTAAGAGAGGTGCTAAGATGTCCCAGGTGCCATAAGGTGCCTTGGGTTGGTATGGGGTTTACTCAGGGTCTGGGGATATCCCATCCCTCCATCGGCCCAAATTACAGGGGAACGAGACATGGCTATAAAATATTGTGGTTAATGCTACGATGCAGAAAGACATTTGTAAGCGTGCCCTGCAGTTGGCCATGGAGACTCCACTCTAAGATGTTTTAATTGCCCAACCAGAGACTATGAGACTTCCCAGCTAAAGTGAAATCCATTATTTTCTTGGCTCTGTTCTTTAGTACGGGAAGGAATATTTGGGAAAGCAGCATGGATTGCATTGCCCAGTTTGAGGTTATCTGTAGCTAAAACTGTTAAGGCACTTTTTTTGCCATGATGTACCCATACTTGTCTTGGAGCAGTTACACAGTAAGGGTTAGAGCCTTTATAACTTAGAAGCGGTGAGAGGATAGTGTAGTGCTATATAGTGTTATCTGGCACCTTAGGGAAATGTGTGTTATTATTGAGGGACCCTACTTGGTGTAAATCTATCCGTCCTAGCCAAGCAGTCATGTTGTTACAGAGTGGGAAGGGAGTTATCTGCCCAGGTGACAGGGTGAAAGAAAAGTGGGCCATTTTAGGCTCATATTTAGGGCTCATATTTTAATGAGCCCAATAGAGTGTAGCAGGTACAGTTTGCAGGCAAAGCGAGAGTATAAAAATGATCAATACCCTATGTGAGTCGCATTGTACAATAGATAGCATAGAAAGAAACAAAATAACTGGAGTAAATGGTGCCTGTGTCTGGAGCAGGATTTGTTCAGCCTCCTCTGGAACTGTGGGTCTTACTGGGTTAACTCTTTCAATTCCGGTACTAGATTGGACCCTAGCCATGCCATGTTATGGTTGGTGCCTCGTGCTGGAATCCAAAGAGGACTTGAGGGGGTGTAAACACAAGCCTACCCTCTCCCCCATGTTAATAATTCATTAAGACCACACTGTGTCCAGAATTGGTGGGTTCTTGGTCTCACTGACTTCAAGAATGAAGCCACGGACCCTCGCGGTGAGTGTTGCAGCTCTTAAGGTGGCGCGTCTGGAGTCTGTCCCTTCTGATGTTCAGATGTGTTCGGAGTTTCTTCCTTCTGGTGGGTTCGTGATCTTGCTGGATCAGGCGTGAAGCTGCAGACCTTCACGGTGAGTGTTACAGCTCTTAAGGTAGCGCGTCTGGAGTTGTTGGTTCCTCCCGGTGGGCTCGTGGTCTTGCCAGGCTCAGGAGTGAAGCTGTAGATCTTCGCAGTGAGTGTTACAGCTCATAAAAGCAGCGTGGACACAAAGAGTGAGCAGTAACAAGATTTATTGCAAAGAGCGAAAGAACAAAGCTTCCACAGTGTGGAAGGGGACCCGAGCAGGTTGCCAATGCTGGCTCCGGAGGCAGCCTGCTTTTATTCTCTTATCTGGCCCCACCCACATCCTGCTGATTGGTAGAGCCGAGTGGCCTGTTTTGTCAGGGTGCTGATTGGTGCATTTACAATCCCTGAGCTAGATACAAAGGTTCTCCACGTCCCCATCAGATTAGTTAGATACAGAGTTTTGTCACACAGGTTCTCCAAGGCCCCACCAGAGCAGCTAGATACAGAGTGTTGACTGGTGCACTCACAAACCTTGAGCTAAACACAGAGTGCTGACTGGTGTATTTACAATCCTAGAGCTAGATACAGAGTGCCGATTGGTGTATTTACAATCCCTGAGCTAGACATAAAGGTTCTCCACGTCCTCACCAGAGCAGCTAGATACAGAGTGTTGATTGGTGCACTCACAAACCTTGAGCTAAACACAGGGTGCTGATTGGTGTATTTACAATCCCTGAGCTAGATATAAAGGCTCTCCATGTCCCCACCAGACTCAGGAGCCCAGCTGGCTTCACCTAGTGGATCCCACACCGGGGCTGCAGGTGGAGCTGCCTGCCAGTCCTGTGCCGTGCGCTCACATTCCTCAGCCCTTGGGTGGTCGATGGGACTGGGTGCCGTGGAGCAGGGGGTGGTGCTCATCGGGGAGGCTCGGGCCGCACAGGAGCCCATGGAGTGGGTGGGAGGCTCAGGCATGGCAGGCTGCAGGTCCCGAGCCCTGCCCCATGGGAAGGCAGGTAAGGCCCGGCGAGAAATCAAGCGCAGTGCCGGTGGGCCAGCCCGGCTGGGGCACTCAGTACACCCTCCGCAGCCACTGGCTCGGGTGCTAAGTCCCCCATTGCCTGGGGCCAGCAGGGCTGGCCGGCTGCTCCGAGTGTGGGGCCCACCAAGCCCACGCCCACCCGGAACCCCAGCTGGCCCGCAAGCACGGCACACAGCCCCGGTTCCCGCTCGTGCGTCTCCCTCCACACCTCCCTGCAAGCTGAGGTAGTGGGCTCCGGCCTTGGCCAGCCTGGAAAGGGACTCCCACAGTGAAGTGGGGGACTGAAGGGCTCCTCAAATGCCACCAAAGTGGGAGCCCAGGCAGGGGAGGTGCCGAGAGCAAGCGAGGGCTCTGAGGACTGCCAGCACGCTCTCACCTCTCAACACCATTCATTACTGTTTACATCTTTCCATAAAACTGCAGGTTTTATGCCTTGAGAGGTTTTAGCAAAGTGCTTTTCTACAACTGATTGAAATTTGTCATCTGAATTTAAAACATTAAGGGTAAATAAGGCCTGTGCCAGTAGTGTTGCAGCGTGCTTACTTATATTACCCTGTCTCTGTTATTAGTGCACATTTTTAAGGGTGAAGTGTCTGTGTTCTACTATTGCCTATCCTTGGGGGTTATATGGGATGCCTGTGGAATGTTGGAGTTTCCACCTGTGACAAAATTGTTGAAATCGTGAGCTGGTATAAGCTGGACCATTAAAAGTGTTCATTTTTGTGGGTCATCCCATAAATGCAAAAGTTAAAAGAAGATGTTTAATGACATATTGAGTAGGCTCTCCAGGCAAAGCATGTGCACTGATTAAATGACTGTTGGTATCAATGGATATATGCACATATCTTAGTTTCCCAAATTCAGGGATGTCTGTAACATCTGTTTGCCACAACTGATTAGGTTCGAATCCTGTAGGGTTCACACCTGTAGAAGGAGGGGGCGTGCCTGTGCGCTGGAAATCTGGGCATTGTAGGATAATTTGTTTAGCTAGCCTCTGGGTAAGTTGAAAATGGTTTAGATAAATTTCTCCAATTTTGGTGGAAAAATTGATGTGATTGGGTGGCTTGGTCTAGCAGTGATGTCATAACCTGAAGGTCTGCTTGTTCGTTGCCATAAGCCAATGGGCCAGGGAGTGGGCTGTGGGCTCGAATGTGTGTAGTAAAAATAGGATGTGAACATTAGTCTAGAATTGTTTAAGTCAGAGAAAAAGAGTAAACAGAGCTGGCTCCAGAGTGGACTTAATCAGTGCTGTTTCAAAGTTTTGTAACAAATAAACAGAGTATGCAGAATCACCTAACTATATTTATGGGCTGAGTGGAAAAAGTTTCTAAGGCCAACCAAACTCAGAGCCCCAGTTGCAGCTCTCTGCATGCTAGTAAACCCAGTTCAAGTGATTGAATAGTGTGGTCTCCTCCAGACTGCCACTTTTCCATGTTTAGCAGACCCCTCAGTAAACAGTGTTAAAGGATTAGGCATGGGGGTGTAAATTATTTTTATAGGCATTATTATCAGAGTGTGAGATAAGAAATGAAGGACTTCATCAGTAGGGAGGATGTGCTCTATTTGCCCTGTGTAATCAGAGAAAGCTATTTGCAGGTCTATTGCCAAAGGTAATACTGCTTCAAATTGCTTTTTACTTAAAGGAATCCTGATGACATCAGGGTCATAACCTAGTAACTGACTGCAATGTTTGCAACCTGAATAGATGACTTTAGTAATTAAGTGAATATAGAGAGACAGTGTTTTACTTCCAGTATGTGAACAAAAAACCCATTTTAGGAAATGTAGCCCAGGGGTCATTTGTCCTAGTAACCCTGTAGGGGAGTGTTTGTTGGGAAATACAAACAACTGAATTGAATATCATAGATCAATATGATCTAGCTGCCTCTGAGAGATGGCTAGCTCCATTTCCTCAATTTCTCTTGTTGCTGCAGGGATTAAATATCTGGAAGAATCAAGAGCTGGATTGCCTTTTAAGATAGAAAAAAGGTTTTGTAGTTTATTAGTAAGAATTCCTAAAATGGGATGGAGCCAGGTAATATCACCCAGTAATTTCTGATAATTACTTAATGTGTGTAATTTGCTAGTATTTAGTTTAACCTTTTGAGGTCTTACTGACTGGGAGGTTAACAGATATCCAATTTATTTCCAAGGAGAGAGCATTGGACATTTGTACTTTTCCAGGTGCAATGACTAAACTTCTCAGCTGTGCATTCTTTATGACAGAAGTAAACAAATTTAAAAGTGTTGGCCCATTTGGAGCTACTAGTAGAATATCATCCATAGGATGAATAATTTTATAGTCAGGAAATTCTTTTCTACTAGAGAGCAAAGATTGATTTACATGAAACTGACACATGGTAGGACTATTTAGCATCCTTTGAGGAAGCATTTTCTAATAAAATTGACAAGCTGGATTTTCATTATTGATAGCTGGTTTTGTAAATGGAAATTTTTCTCTCTCCTGTTCTGTTTTACTGGCTTATTGGACACAGGGGTGGACATCGGATAAATGGTATAGAAGCAATCTTTTAAGTCAATAACAATTATAGGTCAATCTTGAGGGATTGCTGCTGGGGAGGGGAGGCCCTTTGAAGGAGTCCCAGGGGCTGTAAATTAGCATTAATAGCACATCAGTCATGTAAAAGCCTCCATTTCACAGACTTTTTGGCAATGATGAAAATAGGCAAATTCCTGGGGCTGGTAGAATGTTCAAGATGTCCAGCCTTTAACTGCTCCTCAACTAACACATGAATCCTCTGTAGTTTCTCTACCTTCAGAGGCCACTCTTCTAAGCAGACCGGATCTTGAGAGAGCCAAGTCAGAGGTAGCGGAGGAATAACCACAGTGGTCATTGTTAGAAAGGGGTTTGCAGTGTGCCCCGCCCCCCAACAATTGCGCTAATAATTCCCATCCCCAGAGATTAACAGGGATAGGTGTAGTGCCTAACCTTGTTTTTACTCTAATGCGTTACTTTTAAATTTTCCTTGCTTGTCTCCTTAGTTACCCAGCCTTGTTTTTCCCATACAAGTAAGACTTCCTCTTGTCTGGGAAAGCCAGACAAACTCCATGTGGCTTCCTGATTTACCAGACATTAAGGGGTCCTTACCCAACCCCTTCCTCAAGGAGTTAACCTGTGTAAGCAGATCCTCAGCATATGGAAGGAGCCCAATTAACTGATAAGGTACTGAAACAAACAATGTAAGAAGTTCCCAGGATTTTACTCAAAGAAATAACAACATAAAGCCTTGAGACCATGCCTGGCATAACATCTATATCTAACTCTAATGAAGGATTTAGAGCCCCACACCTGGTTACACTGCTTTTTTTGTAACCATTTGTCTTTTAAATTGTTTGTCTCTCTGTAACCATTTGTTTCTTTGATTCTTGCATGTTTTTACTTCTGTAGAATTATTGCATTTGAGTTCCCCTCCCCTTCCTAAACCAAAGTATAAAAGTTAATCAAGCCCATTCCTCGGGGCTGAGAGAATTTTGAGCATTAGCCATCTCTTTGGCCGCTGGCTTAAATAATTCATCTCAAAGTGCGGCGTTTTCTCTCACTCATCTGGGTATAACAATGGGCGTGATCAGAGGTTGTATAACTGCCTTTCTTCCTTCTGAATCATAGCATGTTCAGGGGTGTGTGCTCTGTTTGGCTGTGTGTGCTTCCCCGATGCTGACAATTTTCTATTTCTCAGTGATCCAAGTCCAAATTTCTGGCCAGTTCTGATCACTAATGACTGAAATGTCAACCCCTGTGTCCAATAAGCCAGTAAAATTATTATTACCAAGTTTTAAGGTAATCATGGGTCTCCGATCAGTGATTAATTGATTCCAATATATTCCTGTAGCTCCTGTGCTTCCAAAACTTCCCTTTCCCCTTTCCTTCCCATGGGTATTAGGGTCTCACTATGGTAAAGTCTTTCACTAAGCTATTTTTGATCCAGGGGGAAGAATATGCAGACCTTTATATTCCATTATAACCAATATCTGATCTTGGTCATCACTATCAATTACCCCAGAGAGCATATTAATTCCTTTACTGGATAGGCTAGGCTGCCCAAGGACTAATCCTGCTGTTCCTAGAGGCAGCGGGCCACAGATCCCAGTCTCAACCATTTTAGGGCTTTCTCCCTCTTTTAGCACTAATTTGGCAGGGCAGAGAAAGTCCAGTCATGCACTCCCAGTAGTGGCTGCTCTAAGAGAGAGAACTGTGGGCTTTCCAGCTGACCAAGGAAAGCTGTCGGCATTGTCCCAGTTGGGATCAGGGCTTGGGGCTGGCCCCTCATGAAGTTTCTCGACTGATTTCCTATGAGATTGCCATTTTTATCAAATTTAGACCTGCATTGATTTGCCTAATGTTTCCATTTCCTACATTCGGAACATATAGAAGAGGGTTCTTTCCCTGAGTTAGCTCGGTTATCACTAGGGGGGCATTGCCTCTTCACATGACCTTTCACTCCACATAGAAAACAATTTTGGTTTCTCTCCCTTTTCACTTTCGGAGGGCTTAATGACATAGCTAATATTCTGGCCTTGTTTGTCTCAGTTCCTACCAGGTGAGGCACTTATATGAGCTCCTGGATGGTGCTTGCCTTTCCTTTGATTGCCTGCCATTGCCTGCTGGCAATCCACATTAGCGTTTTCAAAAGCCAGTTGCAGCAATAAGATAGGAGTGGCCTGGGTGTGACTAATTTGCCTCTTAATTGCCTGAGTTAACGGATCCATAAACTCAACAAATGGCTCCTAAGTCCCTTGTCAAACATTTACAAAAGACCTCTGCTGAACTCTGGTCTTGGGAATTTGGTCCCAAGCTCTGAGAGCACACAGACACTTCAGCAAAGGCCTGGGGATCAAAATTTAGTTGTTTTTATACATCAGCATGAGGACACCTCCCTTGGAGCTTATCAGCTATTATATTTTGCCCGGCTGCCTGATTCTGGTTGGCTTGTTGTTTGCACAAGCCGTCCATATCCTGCCTTCCAGAGGAGGAATGGGCTAGGCTCCAGAGTTGCTTTAGCTAGCATTGACCAGTCCCATGGGCCCACACAGAATTGGTCTGCTAAGGCCCCAATCATTCCTTTTGTAAATGGTCTAGTGGCTCCATTTTCTTTAATGCTTTTTCTTCATTGTTTATAAGAGTGAAAGGAAATGGGTTCATGTACTTGATTACCATGTTGGTCTTGCATTACTGGACAGGCTAAGAGCTCTCCTTCTAATGCCACTTGTTTAAGACAAGGTCCCATAGCTGAAGTATGTTTCTTGCCTTTTTTTCTACTTACAGTAAGACGGGGCTCAGGCAAACCCTCCATTTACTCTTTGTTATTTTGGCCCGGTGATAGTGGGACTGAGGGAAAAGGAGGTGATAAGGCAGGTGATGTTTCTCCCTCCTTCTCATTTTTAGGCTCTTCTGTGTATAATGGGACTAAACCATCCTTAGTAAAGCCCGCCATGTTAAAGCTGATGCTGGGACCTGACGACCCTGTGCATAACATTGTTTAAGATTTCTCCCTACTTGTTCCCAGAGTTCTACGTCTAGCATTCCTTCTTCTGGGAACCATGGATTATATGACCAAAGTTTATATTAATTTCATTAATTGAACCTGGGAAACTGAAGCCCCGCTAGCCGTAAGCAACTGTTTTAATACTTTTATATACTGTTTCTGAGGTGCTGATAACTGTTGTCTTATAATGAAAACTCAGCTTGAACCAACTTCCCCCAGAGCTTTGTGACCTCAAGTGCGGACCAATGACTTACTGATTACTCAGTGAGTTAACCATGCGGTTCCTTTCTTCACCTTTTTTTTGGGAGTCCAAGTCTTTCTATTGTGAATAGTGCCACAATAAACATACATGTCTTTATCATAGAATGATTTATAATCCTTTGGTATATGCCCAGTAATGGGGTTGCTGGGTCAAATGATATTTCCAGTTCTAGATCTTTGAGGAATTGCCACACTGTCTTCGACAATGGTTGGACTAATTTACGCTTCCACTGACGGCGTAAAAGCATTCCTATTTTTCCACAAGCTCTCCAGGATCTGTTGTTTCCTGACATTTTAATGATTGCCATTCTAACTGGAGAGAGATGATATCTCATTGTGGATTGATTTGCATTTTTCTAGTGACCAGTGATAATGAGCATTTTTTCATATATCTGCTGGCTGCATAAATGTCTTCTTTTGAGTAGTGTCTGTTCATATCCTTTGCCCACTTTTTGATGGGGTTATTTGTTTTATTCTTGTACATTGGTGTAAGTTCTTTGTAGATTCTGGATATCGGCCCTTTGTCAGATGAATAGATTGCAAAATTTTCTCCCATTCTGTAGGTTGGCTGTTCACTCCGATGACAGTTTCTTTGGCTGTGCAGTAGCTCTTTAGTTTAATTAGATCCCGTTTGTCAATTCTGTCTTTTGTTGCTGTTGCTTTCAGTGTTTTGGACATGAATTCTTTGCCCATGCCTTTGTCCTGAATAGTATTGCCCAGGTTTTCTTCTAGGATTTTAAAGGTCCTAGTTGTAACATTTAAGTCTTTGATCTATCTTGAGTGGACTTTTGTAAGTGGTGCAAGGAAGAAGTCCAGTTTCAGTTTTCTGCATATGGCTAGCCAGTTTTCCCAAACCATTTTTGTACTTCTTAAGAGTATATTTGAAAATTATTCCTCATGATTAAGATTTATGTCTTTTAGAAGGAGAAGCAAGCTAGTAGCATTTTAGATATAATATACACTGAGCTGTTTTCTTTTTTCACAGGAAGTGTCTTTATTCAAAATTTCCACTAGTTTTAAAATTGATCAATGTAAACAAATTATAATTAAAAAAACTTTTCCTACAATTACAAAGTAGTATTTGCTAAACAAATTCTCCTTTAAAATGATTTGCATCAGGTAAACTTAATTTTGTCTAAACTAAAGGCTATAAAAACCTTGGAAGAAAATATTTAGTACCATGTAATTAAGGGAATTAGTATCACATTTTCAGGTACCCAACAATTACTACGTTTTTACAAACATGAAAGTAAAAGAAAACAACTATGACTCTTATTATATCACTACAGTCTGTGATTTTTCTTCTTTTTCTCATTTATTTATATTCATCATAGGTTTAATTGCATGCCTCTGCATTTCTCTGTATACCTCTGAAAGATTAATATATGGTTCTGCAATTATATATTTATTTTACCTTTGAAAAGGTATACAGCATATCATGATACATTTTCCATTAGTGTTGTACCCAAGCGAGTTAGAGGAATGTCACACTTTGAAATGAATTTAAGGGTCCTTTATTTAGCCGGCAGCCGAGAGGCGGATAACGCTCAGAATTCTCTCGGCCCCGAGGAAGGGGCTTGATTTTCCTTTATACCTTGGTTTAGGAAGGGGAAGGGGGCTCAGTTGCAACAATTCTACAGAAGTAAAAACATGCAAAAAATTAAAAAGACAAATGGTTACAGAGAAATAAACAGTTCCAGGTGCAGGGGCTCTAAATATATTATAAGATGTCAGGTATGGTGGCTCTGCTGAACACAAACTCAAGGCTTTATGGTGTTATCTCTTGAGTGAAATCCTGGGAACTTTGTACATTGCTTGCTTCAGTACCTTGCTTTGTGCATTGCTTGCTTCAGTTAATTGGACTCTTTGATGCGTAGACAATCAGCTTACACAAGTTAACTCCTTGAGGAAAGGGGGTGGGTAAGGAGTCCTTGATATCTTGTAAATGAAGGAGCCAAATGGAGTTCGTCTGGCTTTCATAGCTAAGGGAGAGCATATTCACATGGAAACAAGGCTAGGTGATTAAGGGAGAAAGGGAGAGTCTAAAAACAAGGTTAGTAAAAGCAAGGTTAGTAAAAACAAGTTTAGGTATTGCATTAGTATACCTATCTCAGAATGCACATAACTTTAGAACCTATAAAACTTCTGCATGGGTTAGAAACTAGGCAATGTTAAGCAGTATTTATTTACAAAACATGTCTAATTTATAATGGGAATAGGATGAGAAAAGATGCTTTCTTTTTGGTTTGACAACATTATGGGCTCTGAGGGTTACTCAGAGAAGACAGATTTCATCTTAGAAGTGGGTATTTGCTTACTAGGGTTGAAAGCGTTATGGTGGTGGCATGCTCCCAGATTACCACTTGAGATGCATCGCTGGTTGATCTACAGAGCAGCTTTGATGCGGTTTTACCCAGCCAGATTCCTGCTATCCTGGCTGCAAGGTTTGTTTTCTTTTGCTTGTAGTCAGAGGGGAAGTGATGCTTGATTTTCTACTTGCCTCTGAACTTTAGAGCTTAATTTTGCTCCAGGAAAGAGGAGAATTTCTTAAATCTGAAGTGTTTCACTTAGCTTTATGAAAGTAGGAAAAAATAAAATAAAACAAAATAAAAACAATCCTTGCTGGTTTCTTATTCATATTCCATCTATTAACTGCTGGATTGAAACTCTTTTTAAAAATTTTTTGATGACTTCTGAATCAAAGTAACAATGCAGGCAAAGCTCCCACACCTGGAAACTAAGAAAGGACTTGCACAAAAGAAAGTAAGACAGAAAGAGAAAATATGAAGGTTCTGAGGTTACCATGAAATTGATTCTAAGTTCCTTTGCCTGAGAGTCGAATCCTTTCTACAATTGGTTGGAGTTCCATTCTCCTTTCAGGGCTCAGCTCGTGTTACACTTTCTCTCCAATCTCTTGTAGCTTTTCCTTACATTACTTTATTTTCTCTGGCATGAAGAAACGGTGCAGAGGAAAATACAATATTGAGTAGATTTTGCAGTGAAATATTTTAATTGCAGAATGGTATGGAAAACAATGGATGCTAGGATAAAAATTGTGTGTGTAAGCTTATTGAGAAATTTGAATGAATGTCAGTTTCAGGAGAGTTTAGACTTGAAAGTGTCGTTAAACGTATGCTTTCATATCATGCTTGTGTTTGACATAAAAATGCGTAATATTTTTTATGTCAGAGAAGGTAGTTTTCATATATTGTGCATCAACCTATGGATCTCCAATTTCCAAATGTGCAGTACATGCTCAACAAACTGTGGAACAGAATGATGAATGAGTAACATTAACCGAACTCTTTAGAAAATTGGCATACTAAAGTTCATACTAAAACATGAATGCATTCTCTTTATTCAAGTAATTAATTTCTAATAATCCCATTCATCTTAGATACAAAACTTAATTAGCTTAGTAATAAAATTACTGATGATAGCATATTATTTTACTAAATATATGCTTTAGAATGTACTAACAGTTTCTGTCCAAGTTTATCCTTATGGAAACCATAGTAGTAAAAGCATTCTTATGTCCAGCTTTCTTTTTATCAGGTTCTAAAGAGAGGACATATTAATAGTACACATGTAAACAGTAGCTGACTGAATTTTTAAAAGATTAAATAAAGAAGCACTAAGACAAGTATTAAAATTTTATAAACAATTATTGCTTATCCTTCATTAGACAGCAACAACATTGGTAAGTTAACAGGCAGCATTTTTACCAGTTCAGAGGGTGTCTGAGTACTCAGTGGGATTTATTATGTGAAACAATACTCACATAAACCTGAAGAAAGTGTACTTATTTTATATACATAAAAGGTAGCAGGTAACCTACTTAGAGATTACTTGAAATTTCTACTTGGATGGGCCCTTTCATCTCTGTGAGAATGTAGAGCAGGTCAAGTTCTCCTGGGAGGCTGTGGTAGTAGTCTTTTGTGCAGATTGTTTTGTGTTTTTAGAATTTTTAGTTTCTCAGGTCGCTGATATGGCTCAGTCATTATATTTTCTCTGGAGTGGTTGGTCTGGAGCAGACATTCCCAAACTTCCTGGTACCAGGGACTGGTTTCATGGAAGACAATTTTTCCACAGATCATGGGTGGGGAGGTGATGGTTTTGGGATGATTCAAGAACATTACATTTATTCTGTACCGGTATTTCTATTATTACAACTCTGCAATATATAATTAAATAATTATATAACTCACCATAATGTAGAATCAGTGGGAGGCCTGAACTTGCTTTCTGTCCCAGGGTGATGGCAGACAGTGACAGATCATCAGGCATTAGATAATCATAAGAGTGCACAATCTAGATCCCTCGCATAGACAGTTCACCACGGGGTATGATAATCTAATGTCACTTCTGATCTGACAGGAGGTGGGGCTAAGGCAGTAATGCAAGCAATGAGGAGTGGCTGTAAATACGGATGAAGCTTTGCTGGCCTGCCAGCCACTCACCTCTTGCTGTGCAGCCAGTTCCTAACAGATCATGCACTGGTACCTGAATGAGTGTTTAGAATCATCAACGTCTTTAAAGTGGTTAGCATATCCAGAACAAACAGTAGTGTCCAGGTAAGAAAGGCCTACCTATGGGGAGTGATTAGTCACTCCTGTAGAGTCAGTCTATTAAGGCTGATTGACATATCTTACAGTTTTTATCAAGACAGTGCTTGGTGAATAAATATGCAATAAATGATAACCATATATTCAAAATTAGTGTTTCCCGCATGTTTCAGCTGGGTTTGTTTTTAGGTGATCATATTGTTTCTTCATGGACTAGTCATAAGAATACTCAGTTGAATGCTCAGTTGAACCTTGGAGGAAACATGCATCACTGTTTACACAGCAAAAATAACTGAAGTAAATTGTTTGTTTAGAGTCTCCTGGCTCTGCTAAAGTCACCAGAATAATCACCGCTTAAAAGTTACCAAACACTGCATGTTCTCACTCATAGGTGGGAATTGAACAATGAGAACACATGGAAACAGGAAGCGGAACATCACACACCAGGGCCTGTTGTGGGGTGGGGGGAGGGGGGAGGGATAGCATTAGGAGACACACGTAATGTTAAATGATGAGTTAATGGGTGCAGCACGCCAACATGGCACATGTATACATATGTAACTAACCTGCACATTGTGCACATGTACCCTAGTACTTAAAGTATAATAAAAAAAGAAAAGTTTATCATAGATAGTACATATTTGAATCTATGCATATTTATGAACTATGAAAATGACTGCCATGTTCATAACAATGGTAATATAAAACAGTTTATGGGCACTTACTGGAAATCAAATGTCAAAGACTCAGAGACTAAGTCATTTAGAAAAGAAAATAAATTCATTTGCAGAAAATTATTAATTGGAGTACAGGTTTTAACAGAACTTGCTGTAAAATTAAAAAAAAATGATTAGATATTTAATTTATCAAAGCTGTAATGTTCATGATGGACAATTAATAACTTCTTTGAATTATTGTCAAATTAGATGATATTCTCCCATTTTTATATATCAACATTTCAAAGGCCAAGATAAAATTATTTTTGTTAGGGAGTCAGTAACTTACAGAAAAGCTCAAGATTTGATTTAATTTTTGGAACCAGACAGAATGAGTCTGTTTTACTTGTTGTTGTTGTTGTCATTGTGGTTTACCTTAGGGAAAATGAAGCATTTAAAAATGTTTTCCTTGTGTGGAATATGATGTAAACCCTCATTCCTTTAATGGAGCAGGGCAAGGTGATACAGTATTTCCTTATAGACACTGTGCAAGGCACTCTATTCACTTATGTCTAACAACAAGCCCATGATGATCACAGGGCACTGCTTACTCACTGAATTTTACAGTTACACTAGAGGTGGAGTTAAACCTGCATTGGTAATACATTAGGCTTAGTAAATAATTTAGTGAGCCCCTTGAGAATGATCTAAGATATGAGCACCTAATTGTACCAAATGTATGGTCAATATTATTTCCTGTTAGAGACTCATGATGAGATTACAGAGAAATTAGAAACTAATTAAACATATAGAACCAAAGTTTTCATTCCCTAGTTCAAGCTCATCAGTACATTTTACTTTCTTTCAGATGCAGACATAATTTATTGTTTTTGAAGAATCTCTTTATCTCTTTATCTCTCTCTGTTTCTCTCTCTCTCTCTCTGTTTCCCTCTGTTTCTTTGTTTCCCTCTCTCTGTTTCTCTATTTGCTTCTCTCTGTATGTTTCTCTCTCTCACTCTCTCTCTCTCTCCTGCTTTATATTATATGCTAGCAAAGGATTAGGCAAGGATAGATGTTCTCTAAAGACAGATATTGCCTGTTTGAAAAGCTAAGGACAGGCCAACCAAAAAATAAAGAAACTAACACTGATTTTTTTAAAAAGCCATACGTAGCGTCAGTGATGAGGACCTCTCATTTTTGTTATTACTGCTGTTTCATTCAAGAAACTGAAAACTAGGACAAGATTTGTTCCCACATACACAGGTAAGAGCAGCTCAGCCACAATAAAGAGATGTCTCACTGATTTGAGTGAAAAATGCAGGACCCCATTTACATGGAAATATAGTATTTTAAAATAAAAAAAGCTGAAGTTTTAAGCATTCCAATTCACAATGTAAATTTTGTCTTTTTTATGTAAAATGAGATAATGTAAGTAAGACACTTCTGTTGTAATTGTTATTGCTATTGAGGTTATCATCCCTGTTCTTGTTAATATTACTTACTTTTAATTTTCTGTTTTAATTGTTATTGCTACTGAGGTTATCATCACTGTTCTTGTTAATATTACTTACTTTGAATTTTCCTGTATAGGCCTTAATCTAACACTTTCTGTACCAATGCTTGTTTGGCAAAACTATTTTTTTAGGTAAAGAGTATACAATTTAGTGTCTCAATAATGTTGCATAATTACCCATACCAAAACTTGGTGGTATTTTATAGTAAGCATGTATTTTTGCCTTTGTAACTGCAGAAAAAGAGGGATTTTTTACTCTTCTAAGCTTAGTTGGAATTGGTTTTGTCTCAGTCGATTCTAATGTGTTCTCTTTAAACCTACAGCTAAGTTATTTTCTTCTTGTAAAGAAAAGCAGGAAAGCAAGACGGTAAGTTCAATTGCCAAACACATTTCAAGACCTTCCCTGTTTTTCATGTCTGGGCATCCCATTAACCCCTAACAGGAAGCAAAGGAACGGGAAACACAGTTCTGCCATGGAAATTATGAATATGTGCTAAGCAACAGGACTATTAATTTTAAATAATAAGCTGTTAGGTGGTTTTTATTCCATGAACAATTAGATTGCAAGTGACTTGTACATGTTACCTTTCTACTAGAAATCCATACCCAGAAAGCTTTATCCATCACTCCTGATTTTAGAGGTGTTCAGTTGTCAGATTTTTTTCTCACTTCCACTGGCTGCATTGCTCCACTCTTCTAACCATCCTCCTATTCATTTTAAAGTCAAAGTGAATTATGTCTTGCTTGTCAGAGTTTATTAATGTTGGATCCTGAAATTATAAAGATTGTTATGTATCTTTCCAATTCTTATGGTATTATTATTATGGGAAAATGTATACCCTTTTGAAAATAACTAATTTGAAATAATTTTGTAACATAATCCATTTTACAATAAGAAATCTCCTCTCTCAAACACACACACACACACACACACACACACACACACACACACAGTCTCCATGGCAAATTTATTATAATTCAAATAAACATGAAATATTAAATATTTAAACGTTAAATATTTAATTTAATATAATATAAATATGTTTATATCATATAATGAAGGGATTTTTTTGTTAAATACAGGGTAAGTTGATATGTTTTTTCTTTTTGTCACAAAATTGCCAAACACATGTGTCAAAGTATTAATACACAGTATCATATGTATGACATTCCATCTGACACATTTTGACATTAATTCATCTTTTGATCCAAAAATTTCTTCCTATTTTAATAAAGATACACATTTGAATTTTATCCGTTCTGCACCTTTTTAAGGCTCCCTTTAATAATGAACTTCAAAATTAAACTTTTATATTTAATATTATTGTTGGTATAGTCTCATTTTTATAAATATTTGTCCTGTTCTTTAAATGATGATGTATGATACATAGGCAAAAGGATATCCTGGAGCTTTTATATTTTATTTTATATATATTTTTGAGACAGAGTCTCACTGCCTCACCCAGGCAGGAGTGCAGTGGTGTGATCCTGCCTCACTGCAATCTCCAACTTTGGGTTCAAGTGATTCTTCTGTCTCAGCCTCCTGAGTAGCTGGACCAAAGGCATTCACCACCATGCCTGGCTAATTTTTTATTTGTAGTAGAGATGGGTGTTCTGCCATATAACCCAGGCTGGTCTTGAACTGCTGACCTCAAGTGATTCACCCGACTTAGCCTCACAAAGTGCTGGGATTACAGATGGAAGCCATCGCACCTGACATTTTGCTAATTTTATGTCGATCTCATGGATAGTTGCTTGTAGTGAAAGAGCCAAGAATTAATCAACACATCATAGATACACACAACTAAATTTCCGAGAGGAATATATTGCCCAGATCAAGTAAGTTTCCATGGAAAATTATTAACAAAGACCTCATTCAAGAGGATTGCAGAAAGTGAGCTATGCTCAGCGGGATTGGTATCATAATGTGGTACAAAGAAAGTGAATAAAATTATATGATTAATTTTTTTTTGCGGTTGCAGGTCAGCATCCATTGCTTATACCACGTACAGTGCCCCACTCAAACTTGAATGGCAGTGAGGCAGTCAGGATTTGGAGGAAGGCCCAGCAAGGACAATCAGGGCCCAAGGATAGAATGCTGGATTTGCCTGTGGTGCTTTGTGATCTTTCACAAAGTAACTGCGAAATGATGAGTGTAGACAGCATATCTTCTGTCATAAATTAGACATTTCAACCAATATTATTACCTTAAATATATCTGTTCTTACTCTAAATAGTTAAATCCACTGTATTTCAAGATTTAAAGTTGAATCCAAAGACTCTTTAATGTTACAAAGAAGTATGAAGTTACCTTAAGTTAAAATTGTTCAGTGGACATTGAAATAACTACGGCTGTCAACAGTGGCTGACGCCTGTAATCTCAACACTTTGGTAGACCGAGGCTGGTGGATCATGAGGTCAGGAGATCGAGGCCATCTTGGCTATGGTGAAACCCCATCTCGACTAAAAATACAAAAAATTAGCCGGGCATGGTGGCAGGCACCTGTAGTCCCAGCTACTGAGGAGGCTGGAGCAGAGAATGGCATGAACCTGGGAGGTGCAGCTTGCAGTGAGTTGAGATCATGCCACTACACTGTAGCCTGGGCACACAGCATGAGACTCTGTCTCAAAAAAAGAAAAAAAGAAAAAGAAAGAAAAAAGAAAGAACTACAAACACCTCCCAAAATTATTCTTCATGTTGACATAAATAATGTTCTATCAGGAGTATATTTTAATATGTGCTTCAATAATGATCTCTCTCCATTAGAAGCCTCTAGGAGAGAAGGAATCATTGAGTTTCAATCACACAACTATTACCAGAGACAGACTTACATTTGCTTTGAAAAACGTGCTCTTTTACAGTTTTCATTGGAGGAAATGAATATCTGACAATAGAGAACAAATTTTGTAATTCCTAAATACCTGACTAGTAGTATCATTTGTATATATATTTATTTTCATTTATCAGGAATTATTCATGCACCTACCTTAACTGTAATTACCAACTCAGCAACGTAAAATCACACTGTACCTAAAAATACAAACAGTATCCTACTGAAGTTAAACATGCTATCATGCTGAGGTTGGGTTGCCATCTTTTCCTCTGAAACCACAAAGAGCTTCTGCATGTTACTGCCTTCAACATATGCACTTGCTAGTTTCTGTTTCCATTGTTAAAAATAGACTCCTTTGACAATCATTTTTAAATACTTTCCATCCTACAAAGCTTATTAGCTTTACTTTACACAACCATTCAGCACATATTGCTACTAAATAGTTGATTTGTCACCAAATAATGAAACCTGTAATTTGTAGGAAGAACGGAAACCTAGGCTCCAGGAATCCCAAAGTAGAAATCCTCCTAGGAGTTATAGTAATTTGAAACTCTGCCATAGATTATTAGTGATGAAGTGATCCATAAAACTTTGTGAGAGGTACTGCGTCCGTGACATTGTGTCTAGCAAGAATAAGGGATACTCAAGATACATACTAGTTTTCACTTATTTCACATTTATACCCATGAATCTGTGACACAACTCTTCAAAATGTTGTGGATCAGCTACCCACAAGACAGGGAGAATAAGATACGACTGTACACTGTGTTCCAGACATTAAGAATTTAATCCTCAAACTCACCCAAATGAATACAGTTGGAATAATGGCTACCCACTTCTGGGTAAAATAAAATGCATTGTAAACCTTAACTTTTTCGTTAAAATGTAAGTATAGTATTAACCGTCATTGTTCATGCTATCTTTTAACCTCATTGCAGTGAAGAGAATAGTGGATGATATGCAGACCATCACTCTCCTGCCTTTTCAGTAAAATTATAAAGGATGATTTATTGAATGTTCTTGGAGAAGCAAATTAATTTTCACAACTTTTCCAGGTTTCTCATTACCAAGTGATCACTTCTTATAAAGAAATAGAAGACAGTTCTGCTGAATTAAAACATGATGTATCAATTGGTCTCAAATTTCTGTCTTCTGTTTTAACTGAGGCCTTTTTTGAGAATACTCAAGATATGTATTGTCTGTTTTTGTTTTGTTTTGTTTAAGTAGGAACTATGGAGCCAGAAAAAGGTGCCTTGCTGCTGAGTTAAAGTTAACAGAGGCTATACTGGTCTTACAGAAGATCCAGGGGGCAGATTGGCCAGGAAAGAAGGGCCATGGTCAAGAGCCATTAAAGTGTTCCCCTCAGGGTGCCTTAATAACAGCCGAGGCATTAGAGGGATTCCCTCTAGAGTCATCAGTTTTGATTATTTAAGTCTTTTTTCCCCCTGTTGACATATAGAGAGACACAAAGCTAGGGAACCAATAATTCTACTCTAGTTACTGTAAGTGCTGGTATAAAATCACCAGTCTCAAAAGCCACTTGTAAATACAGGACCCATCTGACTAAAGAGTGTTCCTCTTGGGAAATATGGTGTATTATCAAAAGGGGGAATTTTGTGAACTGATACTATAGTTTAAACTCAGGTTACCGGTTCTTCCGAAGTTCTTATAATTATAGATTGAAGTGATAATGGTTTGTTTTATTCCAACTCATTGAATGTCCAGTTATATTCCGTTCTACCACTCCCAAAAATGTATTCTAAAAACTGAAACAAACTGATGGTACTCTTTTTGAAAAGTCCATCCCCACATCTCTGCCCATCTCCACACAAAGATTTATTTTGACAAGAATAGTTTTAGTGGTACCTCACTGATGGCAATCAGTGTATTGAGTTGTAATTTTGTAAAGATTTATGAAGTTCCGATTAGCTCCATCACTGCAGTTAGAAAAGCAGTCTCATCCACACTGTTGAAAAAGAAAGTTCTTCCTAGAAAGGGGAGGTGGCTGGCAAAGTCCAGTTGGTGAAGCATTCAGAAGACAAGAAGGTGAATTAGCAAAGTGGAAAGAGATGTTGAATGAAAATGTACACAACTTTTTATGACAAACTGGGTGTAAGTCATAGTTTATGTATAATTCTAAAGACAGAGGATTGATGGCCCTACATCAACCTTAGTGACAGAGTAAAACAAAAGGACACACGTGCCACTGGGGTCTTTCCTAAAATACAAAGTTCCAAAAAAAAAATAAACATAGAAATAATAAACTGAGGGTGAATAAGGGACTGATGGTCAATAAGACTATCTAGAAGTCACCAAAGAAATAAAGCCATAAACAGAAAAAATGAACCATGTTTAAAGAGCTGCAGGAAGATGATCAGGTCATGCCATACAGTGTAAGTTGGGTTTGACTGGTTCAGTTGAAGCCAGAACCTACAAATAATATATGGATAACATTGATCCGCTTCCATTTACACTTCCTGTGTAGCACAAATTTTGGCTTTCTTATTTAATGAAATAATACAGTAACAGAGTTCATGCTGATGACAAGCTATAAGTTATCTTTAGCTTTTTGCAGCCCCTCTTTCCTTCCTTCCTTCCTTCCTTCCTTCCTTCCTTCCTTCCTTCCTTCCTTCCCTTCTTCTTTCCTTATTTTAAATTAGAAGTCCAATTGAACTATGCCTTGAGCTTTTTTTGATGTAACATACAGGCTTTAAAATGTTACTGATTGGACCGTAATGTCAGGTGGCCAATGAAAAGCACTGAATAATTCAATCTGATTTAGTATGTCTTTGATTTGAAACTTAAAACCATGAAGTGGTATCATCTCTAGCACCCTGAGTAGGAGTAGTTCACAGAAATAGGTGATAAGTAATTTGTTTAACCACTCAGTTTTGAAATCTTTGAGAACTTAGTTGAAATAAAGACGGTGTAGTCTACAAATAAAATGAGCTAAGACTTTAAGATCAAGCAGAGGTAAGGCCCTGAAAATTTTGAATTGATAAAGCTGATGTTGTGTTACTAATTTTTTCTGAGAAAAATGACATGGAACAAGATTTGAGACCATCAAAAAACAAACAAAAAAAGGTACTTAATTGAATTTAAGAGAAGTTAGATTACTTTAAATTTATTTAAAGATATTTTAACATCTATGTCTGATTTCACAAAATTAAACGTTTTATAATAAAATAAACTTGTTTTGAGTTTTAAAGTCAGACAAGCATACCCACACATTATTTTTGTTAATTAGGGGAAAAGAACACAAGTTCTACTTATTGACATAGTGGCAAAATAATAAAAAGGAACATACAACTCAAATTTTTCTACACACACACAGGCATTCTAAGTGACATAGAGGGTTAATGCTATGTAGAGTGCATAAAATATTTCAGTCTTGCATCTTGTTCTTCTCTTTAAAAATAAAGAATAAATACAAGCAGAATAAAAACTAACCAAAATGAAATAAACATTTTTTTAACAGAAGTAGAGAATAAGTCTGGATGATGTCATTGGGAAATCCACGAGGGCTAAACTTGAATGAATATACCTAAGATACTAAGAGATATGTCTTAAAGCAGTATTTGCAAAGTAAACACACTGTTTTCAGTTACTTTACATGTGATACATTCGGCTGGGAGTGTAAGGAGGGCCACTGCTTGTCCCTGCACTGATCCTCAGTCACAGGGTATGACGGTGATAATGAAAATTAGATAATAGGTCTGATATAGAACATTCAGATTGATGCAAGGTAATACACATCTGCAGACATCAGGCAGAGTGCAAAGGTTCCACATTTGCAGAAAAACTATTGTTTTTTTGGAAAAAAAAGGGGGGTGTTAAATGCTGGGAGAAGTAAGCTATACCATTACAGATCTGAGACATCTGGAGAGGGAAACTCATTATACACCGCAAGTCTTGACAGCTGGAACTTCACTGATAGCTCATGCAAACACTGTCTTTGGTGACTACAGTTACCAATACTGTACTGTATACTTGAAAAACTTGCTCAGAGACTGGAGCTTTATTGTTCTCCCCCAAAACAAACAAACAAACAAAAAACACCCTAAACGGATACCAAACACAATGAAATTATCTTAAAGGGTATTAGAAATAATGACAAATTTCCTATAAATGAATGGCATTTACACTAGCAAGAAGTTTCTAAAAAGCAATATTAAAATAAAGAAGCAGGGTTTTTTCAAGCCATGATCTAAAATAATATATTTTTTAAAAAAACTATTGTTAAAGTGTGAGGGTGAAATAAAGACACTTTATGTTATACAAAACTTGCAAGGATGTATTACAGACAGTTTGTTTGCTGAAATAATTTCTTAAGGTTAAGTTTTAGGAAAGAGGAAATTTCACACAAAAGGGAAAATTCAAGAAGCAAGGTAAGTAAAGAAATTAATAAAGAAGAACGTATCCCTAAGCTAGCAATAACATTGTAAACAATAACACTAACAATGAGTATTTAAGCATATAGGTAAGGTGCACCTAAAATTCTAAACAATAGGATTAGATTTAATTACAGTTGATAGAGTTTATGGGAACAAACAAAATTATGAGCCATATACAAATAAACATTTAAAAAACACAACAATTTTCAAGGAAAAGTACTAAATTTTATTGAAGGTCATAACAAATGAAAGCCAAAATATACATAAAAAGGCAAAATGGACTAAACACATTTGTTAAACACATATAAAAATAAATCTTTATATCACAGTATACACAAGAGTAAATGGACGATGATTTTAAAAATACATGTAAAAACCAAAGCTGCCACATTACCAGAAGAAAATATTAGAGAATAATTTATAATATCAGAAAAATACTGTTAATAAGGTTTAAAAGGCTTTCATAAAAAAGTAAAATTTTAGCCGGGTGTGGAGGCTCACGCCTGTAATCCCAGGACTTTGGGAGGCCAAGGTGGGCGGATCACGAGGTCAAGAGATTGAGACCATCCTGGGCAACATGGTGAAACCCATCTCTACTGGTTAGTAGGGATTATTTTAATTATGTTCTCTTTCATCCTCCAAACATGTTTCCCCCTACAGCATTCCACTATTCAGAAATCACAGCACTATATACCTTGTATTTCCAGCTAGAAACATAGAGGATGATCCTTGAGGCAGCCTCTTCTCTTCACATCCAACAGTTCATAGGTTGTGTGTCCTCTCTGAAAATTTTACAGTCTTAGTAAATAAAGGCTGGCCCCTAAACAACCTTCAATCATCCACTTTTTTTTTTTTTGCAATTCTCGTCAGTTTCTTACCGAACAGCAGGAGCTCTGCAAAGTCAACGTTGAAGTAAGTACCATTCTCTGCCAGTATTACTATTTTCTTTATCACAATATAAATGTTCCTTAAAAATGCCCACATGAAGCTATACTAAGTAATACAGTTAAATGATGTCTTTGTTTTACAGAAAAGTACAAGGCAAACAGAATCAATTGTTATTATATGATCTTTATAACTGCACACACAGGTACTAGATATTTTAGAATCCAGTTCATACATCTGAAATTTGGGCCTCAAAATATTTAGCATATGTTAAAGACTAATGTCAGATTATAGAACTGCCTGTTTCCACAGTATTGTGCTATCTCGCTTTAAGAACCAGCTGGGGAATCATTAAAAATATAAAATGTCCTTTTCTTGAACCTCTCCCAGGTGAGCCAAAAAACGAAATTTTCTGTGGAGATGTTGTCATGTGCAATTTCATGAAAACTTTTACAATTTTAACCACAGCTATGCTTCAGTGGCATACCTGTTTATTCAATACCTGCACACCTGCTTTAATACAGAAAAATTTGGAAGTTAATACAAGTATTAACTGTTACCATCATTGGTGCTGACAACTGAAGATGCTTTCCAATCTTCCATGAATATGTGAAATTCAAAATGTCAGTACAGTCTCCAGAATGTCAATGTAATCTTAGTAGCAGTGGATCATTTACAGAAGGTAATTTTGCCACAGTGGTCAAATATTTGTTAAATACTGCTATTTTATAGCTATCCATAACATTAACTGACACACAGTGTATAGCTAGAACCATGTTGCTAAAGAAAATGTTCACAAATAGATTTCTCATTTTTGCTAAATTGCAAACTAACAGGTTAATTACCCCTGTGAAGTACGAGATAGATGGAGTAGTATTTACCAAGAATGAGAAAGAAGAGAGGGGCATATGACTTGAGAAGGTGGGAGTGAGTAAAAGATAAGGTATTTATTCCTGACTCCTGACTTGATGTTCTTTGCTTGATTCTTTTCTTTTTGTTGTTGTTGTTGTTGTTGTTATTTTACTTTATCTTATGTGTTAGACCAGAGTTTCACAAACACCCCCAAATAATTACATGGGGCATAACAAATATATCCAGATAATTCTCATTATTTTCCTTCAAAATCCTGGTTCAATAATTTGAAATGAGACCTGGAGAACCAGTAATTCTAACAAGTATGATAAGTGATTGTTACCAAAATGACTATTATGAAATATTTAGACAACCAGGCAGGAGCTAGGTAATCAATATTTAATAGTTGGTTCTTACAGTAAGGGCAAAGGATTTTATTGAAAAGACTATTTAAATGCAAGTTTTATGAAAAAGGTTGAAGTGAGCACTTTAGTACTTTCTAATTAGTGTCTTTAAAATATGTTTTGCTAAAGTGGCAAAATTATTTTTTTCATTAGAAGTTAGCATTATAGTCACAAATGTCTTCTGAGTTAGCTTTTTGAAAATCTTCAGATTATAAATTGTAAAAATTATCTTTGGTGTTTATAAAACTCCAGAAAATCACTAAGAAAAATATACATAAAAATACCAGTATCTAAAAAGATCAAAATAACTCTTACAAACAGACAACAATCTAGCCTAGGAGAAGAAAGCAGGACAGGTAAATAGATCCATTTTGGCAAAGAGGAAAGTCAAATGACCAATGAAAAATGGCTAGATGATTGAACTCATTAGTAATCTGGGAATATAAATCAAAACCACATTACGTTCCAACTTTTGTTCATTAGCTTGGCAACAATTAACATAATAACATAATAACCCTTGTAGTCAAGGGTGTAAAGAATGGTAATTTGGTTCCATCAATCACAGGACTCTCTAATGATATTTAGTAAAATTAGGGTGACTAAAACTTTCATTGTTCCAACAGAAACTTTTTTAGAATAAAGAGTACTAACATACACAAAATTATTTAATATTTAATATATTATTTCCTTTCAGGCAAATTTTTATTGTATTGATGGATCTATGAAATAGTTATCTTCCAGCTATTTTTAAAAATGAAATCCCTTCAAAAATTTAAAACCACAATTACATATCTTGAGGCAAAATAGAAAAATAATTTACATTATTTAAATATTAAAAATAGGGAGAATAATTATATAGAACATATTTATATGAATTAATCTGTTTCTTAATAATTATCTGTAGTTCTTTTCTGGAAAATGCATTTATTTTAATATTATATTGATTTTTAAATAATGTTACTTGCAAGCTTTTCCAAAGTTGCCTCTTCCTGTCACCAATAAAAGTTATCAACAAAGTTTAGCTTTTTAAATGAACTTTAAACAACCATTTATCATATTGTTCAATTTTTTTTCTGGCACAATAATATTTCCACAGCTTTATTTTGGTGCCGATGATTGATTAAAAATTCAAACCATGTTTTAATCAAATTTTCTGTTTGAAACATCTAAATGGCATTATTCAACTCTTTTTGAATTTCCTCTGTAGCTAATGGAGCTAACATACTAACAATTACTGATGAATATTCCTAAGTGCAGAAAAAATAGAATTAAAAATGTACACAGTTGATTTTAAAAAATAGCAATTTGATGCAAATAAAAAGCCAAGCATCTCGGAATTATATGCTTAATTTTTCCAAATTCACATATTAAACCTGTGAAAATGTCATCTTCAGGCATAGTTTTCTTAATGTAACTAAGTATTACCTTTTGAAATAGCAGTTGCTTTTCCCCCTCAGCGCTCTATATTTTGGATTTCAGGATATCACTTTTAGCCTGTGGTCCCAACATGGACTACAAGGCTTTATGACTACACCATGTGTTTACTGGCACTTTTCAACCCATAATTTGATTGAAAGGGAAATCAAGTAGTTATTAATTAAATATCTACTTGCATTTTCAGGTCATTGCTGCTGAAACAGATTTTTTAAAAATAGTCATTAGCAAGCAACCTATAAATAAATAGTTGTAGGTATATGAGAGATGACAAAACCACTGTGGCCAGACGAGTTAACTACTCTCTGTGTGCTAAGCTTCTATTTCCAGCACATAATTTACGTATGTCTAGCCTATTATTTCCTTCATTTTCCCCAAACCCACCATGATGATCTGGCAATGTCGTGTAAGTGAGCCACACGGTAAAAAAAAAGAAAAGAAAAAAAAAAAACTATGTCAAATACTTTTTCCAACACAAGGCAAGACTGGAAGAAGCTAGCCATTCCTAGCCAATACTGACTCAGTGCATATTGATTTATTGTCACTCTGCCGCATGCTGTCCTTGAAAAAGAAGGACAGCATGTTATCTATGTTTGGTGTAAACTGTTAGGAAAATAAAGTTGATTTTCAGACTTATCTCCCAACTCAAGTCATCATTCTGTTAATATTTTATTTTCCTCACATACTGATAGAATACTGACAATAGCTGCAATTATTAAACAAAATGAACATTTAACAAACATGTTTGTTCTAATCAATGTAACTTATAATAATACTTCATTAAAAATGAAAAATCTAAGACATATGCTAAGCCAATTAGCATGGATGAACAATAGTAATAAAGTCATAGTCTTGGGGGCCAATGAGAATATTTTAACCCCTCAGAGTTAAAACTGTACACACACTGCAGTCCAGCCATTCTTCTAATACATTCATTATAAACTCTCACACATGTGTACCCAGAGGCCTGGGCAAGATTTTTCATTGCAGGATTTCAAAAAACACATCATGGAACATGATAGTATTCAGTAGACTAAGAACTATGCCATCAATAATTGCAGCTTTCCACAAGAATGTTAACAAAAAAATGTGAAATAATACACACCTTATAATATTCACATAAATATTAAAAATTCACAAAACACCAGTATTGTTTAGAAATAAATATTTTAATAAATTTATAAAAATATGAAGGTAATACCAGGTTCATGATAATGGTGCCTCTGGAAATGGAAAAAAGCAAATGAATCTGATGGGGTGTATCCCAATTACAACCAGAGGTAATGTAAATAGAACAAGGAATGTATTAATGGAGGTTATTTTTAAGTTAGATTAAAATGGTATTTATTATGTTATTTAGTATTTGTATACATTTTTTAATCTTCCTCAAAAAAATTTTATATGAACAATATTCTGTATAAATTGGAATTACCTTGTGAAGTAATTGCTTTAAAATTTCCCTGTCCCCATTGCCACTTTCAGCGAATAAAAAAAATTAAAAATTGAAGAATGTGTTACCTTTCAAAAAAAAATTTTACATTTATAAGTATGAAACAAAATGCATTACCAGCACATCACATTTTTTGACTCATTATCCATGTAAAATCATGTAGCAAAAAATGAGAGAAGGACATAGGCAGAATTTGACATATGAATAGAGGAAATAATTGCATGTTTATTTAAAATATCTTCATAAGACATAAAAGTGTCCAAGAAACATAAAAAAAGTGCTCAACATCACTGATCATCAGAGAAATGCAAACAAAAATCACAACAAGTTACCATTTCATACCAGTCAGAATGACTATTATTATTATTAAATAACCAAAATAAAAAAATAACGAAGGTAGGCAAGGCTACGTAGGAAAAGAAATACTTATACAGTGGTGGAGAGAATGTTCAGCCACTGTGGAAAGCAGTTTGGGGATTTCTAAAACACTAACAATAGAACTACCATTTCACCCAGCAATCCTATTGCTCGGTATATGCTCAAACGAAAATAAATCATGAAAGCTACCAAAAAGACACAAGAATTCTCATACTCATCACCATGTTAAAGAGATGGAATCAACCTAGGAGCACATCCATGTGCTCCTAAAGAAAATATGGTACATATGAACAGTGGAATAGTACACAGCTGTAAAAAGAACAAAATCATGTCCTTTGCAGCAACATGGATGCATCTGGAGGTAATTAACCTGAGCAAATTAATGCTGAAAAAGAAAATCAAATATTGAATATTCTCATAAATAGGAGCTAAAACGTGGGTGCACACAGAAATAAAGATGAGAACAATAGACACTGGAGACTTCAAAAGAGGGACAGAGGGAGAGGGGCAGGGGCTGAAAACCTTCCTATTAGGTAGTAGGTTCACTCTCTGGGTGATAGGATCAATAGAAGACTAAACATCAGCATCACGCAATAACCTTTGTAACAAGCCTGCACATGTACTCTCTGAATATATAATAAATGTGGAAATACAAAATAAAATAAAAATATTATTAATGGAAATAAATTATTATTAATATTATCATATAAACATTATTAAAGGGAATAAATTACATTTTAGAATTGACATTATTGCAGTCATACATGATTGAAACATGCTGATAAAATCTATATAAGCTTTATGGAAACAGTGAATAGTCTCCTGACTGCCTTTAAAAGTATAAAAGATGGGATAGCAACCTTTATGCACATTAACTAGACTTTAGTTGCACTAATTAAGACAGCAAGAGCTGAGTAAATCAAATGATAATAGACAAGTTGTAATTGATGTCAAAATTCTACCTTATTATATATCAACTTCGAAATCATAGCCCAAGTTTTTTTCTATTTTGAGAAACATCACTCTACTAATATATAGAACAAAGATAGATTTTTGCATGATTTCAATAAAGCACATTTCTTCTTCAAATATGATAAGCACTTTCCAATCCATAAAACACTGTTAGAGAAAACTGACAATCAGGCTAGACACACATTTCAAAGAGCCTATGATGTTACAAATCACTTATGCCTCACTCTTGCGTCACCATGATAATGCAAAGCACTTAGATGGTGTTTCTTAGCTTGAAAGAGCCTAGGAACTTTAACTAATTAATCCTTAGACTAACCAGTGAGAAAGTGATAAGAAGCCCTGTGAAGAGATCATTTAACTATATAATTCACACTTGCTTAAATGTAATTCAGCATATGTGCCATGTTGTGTTTTCCTAGCTTTCTATTTCAGTCTTCAGAGAAATAATATTTATCTGTGAATATATGATGCATAGGCATCTATTATGAATAAAATTATGTCGACTGCACTCTCTCTGCCACTAAAAGGTAACAGATGTACATACAGCCAATACATAAAAAAATCTGGTACATTCTGCTGTATTTTCTTTTCTTATTCATTTCATATATTATTTTCAGGTATTTCAGAGTGGACTTGTTAGATTTGAATAGGCTAAAGCTTTTTGAAAGAGGAATATACAATTCTCTTGTTAATTTTTATAATTTTTTTTGGAAAGTGAATAAAAATTAAACTTTTATGATTATGCTGAATGTAAAAGAATATCATATGTGAATGCTTCACCCAAATGAAAGAATATTTAATATTCAACTTAGAATTCTCTCTAGTAGGATTTCCTTCTCTGCAGGTAGCTGGCTACAGAGATCTACCAAAACAAATGTATTTCTGCGGTAAATACCAGCACTGGCTTACTCCAGAAAGAACTCTTTTAGTCTGTAAAGAACAGTACATCTTTTCCCTGAGCAGAATAAATACTTACCCAGTTTTGCTGTTCCACTAAAAAATCAATTAAAGTAAGTCAGTTCCTTTTTTATTACAAAGAAAATCTGGTTAATTTCTAATTACTTGTACTAAATCTATTCTCTATAACTATCTAAAATTACATAGACATACACACAGGCATAGAAAAGAAAGAGTACAATTGGAAGACCAAATAATGTGTACATGTGATCTGTTAAAAAAAAAACTTTCTACTCTACTATTTTCATTATAGGTTATAGTGTAATTCAATAAATGACCTATTTTAAATTAGTGCCTAAAACATCACTTGAAAAAGTGTGTACAATGCAAGAAACATTTCCCTATGCATACACTTTATTTGTAAATACATTTATACTGTAGAGTTAAAATGGTTAACTTTGTTGTCAAAGACTGATACCGGCTAAAATTTTGTTTCTTAATATATGTATCCCATTTGTTGTTTTGTATCCTATAAACCCTTTATGCTATATCTAAGACTTAAAATGTTTTAAACATTGGATGTTGGTCTTTAGTGGGAGTGGGGGTGGGAGGGCCCCATGCAGTTGCTGTCTGGGAGATCTTATCTAAAGAAAGAAGTTAGTAACAGGCAGCTGCATGGGCAGTGGTCCAGTGCCAGGTTTTCAGCTAACACATGTGTAAGTTTCTCAGGAATTCTCAGAAGTATTTGAGGGAAATGAAACTGGTTTACCAATGCTCTTTTAAAAAACCAGGTAAAGAACATCCTGCAGTGTCCTGAGGAGAAAAATGAGCAAGGCACATGCTTTCAGATGAGAAACATACTAGGTGATTGCAGGATAATAGAAATCTCAAGCAGCAGTTTCACCTGAGGAGCAAAAATACACCCTTAAAGTAGCTGCATAAACTAGAATCTGGTAAGACTCCAAAAAACCAAAGCGTGGGCAAAGCTGGCTAGAAACAACTGGACTCAACATGGTGTTGGATTTAAGCTAGGTTTCACCTTGGAGAAAATAGCAAAAAAAAAAAAAAAAAAAGTCACTGTTATTACCATGCTGCTCTGCTACTACCATGCAACAGAGCAACTGATCAAAGGCAGCAACTGCGTAACTATGGCTGGTTCACATGTGAAAACTAGAAATCCCTGTTTATTTAATTCATGTTTACTTTTTCTATTCATATAGAAGCCAAAAGCATTCCTTACTGACACAGTGTTTCATTTTTCTTCCTTATTCTCCACCGGTTATTTTCTTACCACATTAGTTATAGTTTATAACTTATTTTGTCAAATATATGCAATGAGGTAACACTGCAGTATTGCAGAAAGCACACTGCTTTGGAAACAGACTCGTACTGAAACGGGAAAATGTCCCTCACCTCCCATCACCGAGCGAGCAGTTAGGACAGGTTGTGGGGCTCCGATCCCAAGCAGCATCTAGGGGTGAATGTTTACAGCTCCTGAATCCCCAGCGGGCATGTGTTACACACTGATAATTTAGTTTCTCCATGTGTAGGTGGCTTGTGTTAGCTCAATTAGGTAGGCTGCCTTACTGAAAAGACAGAGGGCTTTCTGGATCCCGGGGCTTCCTGCTTTGGTGTACCTGAAGGATTGTCTCACACGTGGGCTTGGAGAATGAGTGCAAGGTTTAATTGAGTGGTAGTTCTCAGCAGATGGATGGAGAGCCAGAAGGGAGATGAAGTGAGAAGGTGGTTTTCCCTTGGAATGTGGCAGGTCAGCACTCTCCTCCCACAGCCCCAAGGAACTCTGTGTTCTTCTGCGATGGATGTTGTGCCGCCTCAGTCCTTGTGCTCTTCATTCTCTGGTATCTTCTCAAGGTCCAGTTGCTGTGACTTCTTCTGCTGATGGTTCCACTCGATGTCCAGCTGCTGTTGACTCTCCCTGCTAGAGTCTCAGAGTTTCTTATAGCACAGGATGGGGGTATGGCAGGCCAGGGTGGTCTTGGAAAATGCAACACTTGGGCAAAAAAACAGAAGCGCATGTACTCACCATTTGGGCAAGAAAACAGAAGTGCATGTCCTCACCTAGGTCAGTAAGCATAGGCATAAGGGTGGAGCCCTAACCAAGAACCACACCCTCCACTACCAGGCACTTCCCTGTCCCCCATCCATATCAGTATTTTTTAAATTTAAAACTCCAAAAATAGTACCCAAATCCTTTAAAGAAGATAATTGGAGAAAATGGCATTAGAAGAGCCAGTCTGGGATTAGGGTCACTATATGGAAAATGAAAGCACAGAGAGCATGTCCTGCAGGCCACGGAATCACTGCGGAAACATATCCCCTACTGAGAAGGAGAGGGAAACTAACTGGCTTCTCTCATCTTGTTCTCTAATCTCTGCAGTGTTACCCCTTGACTGAGCTGAAACAGGAAGAAATTTTTATGGGAGCCTAGGAACCCTGCTTCCCAGAGACCAGGCATCTCTGTTACAGAACAGTACTAGCAAGAGGTGAGTGATGTATCTGTGCACGTACAAACCCAGTACCTCACACAAAGGAGTATCAGAGACAAGTATATTATCAAGGGATCAAGAGAGAAGTAGTCTCAGGAATGATTCATGCATATTTGTGAAAAGACCAAAAAGTAAAATAGAGCTCATGAGGTAATAAACAACAAGAACGTAAAGAAAAACAGGCAAAATTGTAAAGTCCAGGGTATTTACCTTTCCTTTATAGGATTCTGAAAATCCTTTCCAGAATCCTTTTTCCAATATCTTCCATTCATGGATTCATTCAAGAAATATGTATTGAGCTAGTATGGTATAAGAATTGGGCAAATGGCATCATATACACTGTTAGTACTTCTATTACTGATAGAAAGAATGTTTCTTTTTTTTCTACAATGTTTTTCTCCCAGACATTCTTCTTACAGATTGGTATCCTTACAGATGCAGTCAATCGTTCCTGCCCTAAGAAGGTTCCCCAAACCCCTGTAAACCCGGTTAAGAACTTACTTCCTCTCCAATTAAGTTACTAAATTGTTTCTATTGTAACACTTGTCAGAGTACATTGCAATTTTTGCTCTTCTCTCATCGTCCAATTAAACTATGAATATTTTGAAGGAAAAGTCTATAAACACAATGGCTTGACATTTGTCAATATTTATTGTATAAAAGGTTATTAGATATTTATATATAATAGTCTAACATATTTATCCTAATTTTTGGAAAACAATGTAAACAATGTTAATTGACCATTCCCCATGAATTGCTCAACTTAAACAATGTCTATGCTTTTGAAGCAATTATACAAACTTCCAAAAGACATCTGAAAGAGTTTTTATTTCAATTTTTTTTGTTGTTGTTATATTGAATTATTTTGTAGAGACAAAGTCTTACGCCTTGGCCCAGGCTGAAGTGCAGTGTGTGATCACAGCTCACTACAACCTTGAACTCCTGAGTAAACAGAACAACAGATGTGTGTCATCATGCCCAATTCATTTAATTAATTAATTACATTTGTAGAGATAGGTCTTGTTATGTAGTCTGTGCTGGTCTTGAACTCTGGGCTTGAAGCAATCCTCCCTTCTCAGCCTTCCAAAGGGCTGTGATTCCAGGCATGAACCACCAGAACTCAATGAAAAAAATTTAGATTTTAGAATATTACAATATGGTAGACTTAATTTCTTCTTTCAATTTTGCATTTTTAGTGGCACTTGAGAATAATTATTTCTTAGGGGGAGAGTGTGACTTCTCATATTTGGTCCAAATTTTGAAATCTTTATTCTGTTTACTTAAACCCTAATAACTGGTAGTCAAGTCAGTTGACAGTCAAGTACATGGGTGTTTTTGTGTTGAGGTTATGAAGACAAATGTAGAGAGATATTAAGAACCAAAGACATTTATTTTTATATATGCTAAAGCTTTACCTCACCGGCGAGGCATCATACATGGCACAGATAGTTTTATAAAATACCCTGAAATACATACTTTAGTAACCAGTTCTGCACTTGCAATTTCCCAACTTTGTTTTCATCAGGAGTTAATTACGTATGGCACTTCAAGTAAGTGAACAAATGTTTGAATTGCTGTGAGTTATTTTAGTCATTGCTCAGCTAACCATTTAAGTTATCAAAGATATTTACTTGTACAGTATCATAAATGCTGGACATTAAAAATTAATCAACAGGCTTAGCTGCCATCTAATATGATATTTTTCGTAAAATAACAGCAGTAATTATGCCAAAAGATAGTCATTCCTGTAGTTTTAGCCATTATAGCAGTTTCCACCTGAGGATTTCACAGAGTCCAGATATGGGCAACAGTGATTAACATAATAGTTATTAGTGAGAAGATATTTTGATACATCTAGGCATGTTTACATGTCAGTGCCTATACGGGACGGGTTTGGCATATTAATAAGAAAGGGTGCATTGGACTGAATACTAAGAAATGTATTGAGGTTTTTTTTGCCCTTTATAACATGAAAGGTCAATTGGAGATATAGAAACAATGGAACATTTCGCAGCATGGCCTGACATTTCACTGCACTTTTTTAAACCACGTACCTTAAATATGCAAAGGTAGGACTGTTATAAGACGAAAGTGTTGGAGTCAGAGGTCACAATCCACAGCAAGGTGATAGTCTCTTGTGGATGGCCCCCTGAGTGCTGAATTAGAGTGAGAATCAACTTTCAGGCTGCCAGCAGTGGACAAGGAGAATGAAGCTATCAGCAGTTAATTCAATTCAATTATTGGATTAATTGAAATGAATGTTGACAGAGATTTTGTTGGCTTTACATCAAATTGAGTGTAGTACTTCAAATTGAGTATTTGATAAGAGTAAACTCTTACCACATTTCCCACATGTAAAATTGAGGATTAATGAAAAGATTACATAACCCATACATTATGAGTAGCTCATATAAATTTGTATGCACATGTGCAAACTTACAGCGTGCAAATATTTGTCTATATCTAAATATATCCAAATCCATTGATGAACGTTAGAAATTTTGAAATTATTCTCCCATTTTACCATTCCTTTTCCTAGAATTTTGTCATAAATACAATTTTTCCATCTGTTTGAAACTTACTTTCTGGAGGCATGTAATGTATGGATACAGTAAAGCTGTGAGATATTACAGGGTTTGTATCAGAGAAAATAATAAAACTGGTGTTATAAAAAAGCCATTTTGAGGAGAAATTTATACTTCACAGGACTACAAATACAGAAGTATTGTTTCATCGAAAGTTGATGTCAGTCAATACAATTTATTTTTATGTTTTATTTCAAATATGTAATCTCAGAAGGATTGCTTGAGAAGAATAATGTTATTGATAATAAATAATGATTAAGAATTTCCTTTAATTTGTTTATTATTTAAAATTTAAGTAAAATACTAAAAAGTAGTGTATAATGTAGTTTCATGAAGCATTCTCTATGGTTTTTGTAAAATTAATAGTCTCAATGGAATTTTTTACACAGAGAAATTTCCTTATATCATTTTATTATTGTACTTTCACTTTATTACTTGCTTGCATGTTGTAACTCATAGAAATAAAAATATTTTTATTTATACATGGATTTTTGTTTATGTTTTCTAGTGAGAGAAAGACACCAATAATTTTATCTATATAGGAAAATTTGGACAAGCCCAAAGTTCTTAACTTTCTTTTCTTTGGAAGTTTCATACTTAAGTGTAGGTATGAGATGGACTTGACTGTGATCATTTTTTGATTTCACTATGACTACTGAGTTTCAGATATAGTGTTACAAATGTATAGACTTAAAAGCTTGCTTTATTCTTCTTCTTCTCCTTTTGGACCTGTACATGTGATACCTGCAGTAATGTGCACCATTATCTGAAATGAGGTTGCTGAAAGATGCAAGCATAAATGGAATTCTTTATTTCTGTGAACCTTTAGGAACAGACAAGTAAAACTGAAAGATAATTATAAGATTAATTTAAGTCTGTAGTTTCTCACAGAAGTACAGTAAGGGTGAAAACATATTTAAAAATACTTGCCTAATCCAAAACATGTTGTAGGGAAGTGAAAAATTTAATTTGACATAAGGAACAGTTTAAAAGTTATGATTATTTTTGGTGACAGTAAGTTGCACTAAAAATCCTATTTTCCCTGTTTTAATACATGAAACTATTAATGTATCTTCACGCTCCAAAAAGAGTTAACTCTAACTTAAGCAACAACTTTATGGCCATTTCAAACAGTGGGTGCATCATCTTAGAATTTCTCCAAGAATCTTTTGGGAGAAATCTAATCTAATCTAGCTCTATAAACAATTAAATTAATAAAATTATTATGACTGTAGCTTCACAATTTCATTGTCCTTCTCTTTTCAGTTTTTACATATTATTTTTAAAATTCAAAAGCCCCTAGGAAGCATATGATAAATAACAATGACTGAAACAGCTGAAAAATGAAAACTAAGCAGCAGACACATTTCAAGATTTCCTTTATGAGAATGCTATGTTAACCATGTGATATACACATGGTGTAAATCACCGTGAGAAAATAATATTCGGGTAGCACTTGACAGTTTATCCAATAACAGCAAATATTCTCATTTGACCTTCAAAAGATTTTTAAACTCGTGTTTCATAAATGATGAAAATGTGATTGAGTAATACAAATCAGAGCTGTTACATCTCATTAGGAACATGTCGGAGCCAATAAAGCAAAGGCATGAGTTTTCTTCTGGAGGGAAGAAGGCAACATTTATTAAGACCATGAGTCTTATTTTTTTACATTTCATCATTTATCAATGTTTTATCAAAATTGTTTCCCTTATTTCCAGTTATATTTCCTTTATTTGCCTATTACAGCAGTTACAACACTTATTATTCATTTATCTCTGTGCCTGTTACTGCTGCACACTCAGAAGAGCAAGGACTATATTTTTCTGAGCTTCTTGCAGACTGCCAGGCTTATTGTGGCATTTAGACACTATCTGCTGAATGTTTGTGACATTTTCATTTAAGTTACATTGTAGGCCACTTGATACTAATTTTCTATTTCGTATTTGGGTTTGGAGAGTTATTTTTCCTTTTTAAGTTTTTTTTTCTTTTTTTGTTTTATTATACTTTAAGTTCAAGGGTACATGTGCACAACGTGCAGGTTTGTAACATAGGGATACATGTGCATGTTGGTTTGCTGCCCCCATCAACTTGTCATTGACATTAGGTATTTCTCCTAATGCTATCCCTCCCCCAAACCCCCACCCCACAACCGGCCCCAGTGTGTGATGTTCCCCACCCTGTGTCCATGTGTTCTCATTTTTGAACTCCTACTTATGAATAAGAACATGCGGTGTTTGGTTTTCTGTCCTTGTGATAATTTGCTTAGTATGGTTTCCAGCTTCATCCATGACCGTGCAACCACAATGAGATACCATCTCATCCAGTTAGAATGATGATCATTAAAATGTCAAGAAACAACAGATGTTGGAGAGGATGTGGAGAAATAGGAATGCTTTTAAGTTTTTTAAAGTATATTTTAAGGATATACTTATCTGAACGTGGAGTGGACAGTGAAAGTCGTGGTCAGTGGGACCTCCAAAAGAGGCACCCCATTCAAATTGGAGGCTCCTGCAGGAGAGGGCAGCCAGGGCATGCAGCGCGGAGGCGCCCTTGTGGGAGGAGAAGGTGCTGGTGGTGGACGACATCATGGCGGTGGTCCACGTCGTGGTTGAGGAGAAGGCTGACATGGAGAGGCAGGAGGAGGACCAGCAGACAGAGCCTGTCCGCGGCCCCAGCACACCCTAGCCGGCAACAGACTCGCTGGAGGTCCTTCACTTGGAGCTGCACTCTGTGGATGCCCCAGGCCGCATGGTCTGCCCGCGGCTGAGACGGAAGCTTTGGCAGAAGCACCTGCCCGGCCTGGAGGGCACAGGGGCCATTAGCCAGGGCATCTCCGGCTTCTGGGCCAGAGCCATATCCTTGCAGCTGCCCATTCGGGATGACTGGCAGCAGGGGGTGCGCGACGGGCTACAGGGGGCGGGGAACAGGGGATCCAGTCCAGGGGCACACGGGGTCAGCCAGGAGGCAGGGCATGGGGGACAGCGAGGGGAGCAGAGGCCAGGCTCCTGCAGATAGGAGGGCAGCCTGCTTGCAGGTGCCCTGAGAGCATGTGGTACGGACTGGGAGCCAAGCTTAGCACTCACAAAGGAGAAAACTGGCGCCAAGGACCCTTCATGCACAACCGTAAGTTGAAGGGTACGTTTCCCTGGGAAAGTCCTTGGAGGAAGGAGAGTCTGCAAGGCCATACCAGTCATGGAACCACCCCCACTCCCCATTTCAGTGTCCAGCATCCTCACCCCAGAAACACAAGGTGCTCAAGACTCGGGTTCACAGTGCATGTGGCTGCTGTCCTCTGCAAGGCAGCCACCAGCTCCCCAGAAAGGCTTTCTTCCCTCTACCTGCATTGCACCCAAAGAGCTGTAGGCCCTGAGCATACATAACCTCCATTGCACACAAGCCTTCATTGCATACACGCGAGCCCCATGATGAACGCCAGGCACAGCACTGTAGTCCCTTCTACTCACTGAGGTTCCCTCAAGTGGACACGCCCACCCAACAGGGAGACCAGGAGAAGAGGGGAAAGCACACCTAGATACCCTCAGCAGAGCCTGTCCAGCAACTGGAACGCAAGGGCCACGTGCAGCTCAGGAACTCTGAAGAAACGGCCTCACACCACAGCACCCTGTCTACTTGTGATCCCCGCTTGTTGTTGGCAGAGGCTTTCTGGGCCTCTCTCCACCCACCCACAAGACCACCACACCCACTACCATGCCCCCCATGCCAGACAGAGACAGGACCACCAGTGCAGGGTGCCAGGCCAAAGGTCTGGGGGAAAGCCCTACCCAACACTCTCCCAGCTCTTGAAAAGTAGCAGGGTGTTTCCTGGCATGCCCACCCAATCATCTGGAGGTTCCTTGACCAGAGGCAGATAGTGCCGCACACCCAGAGGTCGGCCAGGTTCAGAAACCATGAGGAAGTCCTGCTAAGTAAGCTACAGGATGGATTTGCAGATCAGGCTGGGGAGCATGGGTCTGGGGTAAGGGTCAAAGGTCCTGGTCAGTTTGAGGTCCTCCCTGGGTCCGGGAGTGTCTCAGCAGGAGAGCTGGAAAGGGGAAACACATGCTTCACCCAGGCCATCAGGCCCTAAGCCTAGCTAGATGAAATGGTCTCTTTGAGTCTTTCCTCTTCTTGGCCTGGCAGGTGGAAGAACTCAGCCATTCCTGGTACCAGCGGCAGGAGGCTAGGCCTCGCATGAGTCTTCCAGACTCCTCTTGCCCCAGGATACATAGCTTCTGGCTCTACTGTAGTCCAGTCATTTTAGAGTCATGCAGGAGAAGCCCCAGCTTCAGGCAGTACACAGACTAACTGAGCTTCTTCAGTGGGTTGACTGACCATGACCACTCAGGGTCAGCCAGGATTGCTGAGGTGTAGGGTGCTGTGGGGCATCATGGCTAAGGTCCTTTCTAGTCTTTCCTTGACGTCTGGGGAACTGGCTTTGAACTATGACCTGGCCAGTCACAGACCCCTTTCCGCAGCCCCCCACGTCATCAGTCAGGGCTTCTGTCTCAATCCCTGCAGCACTACGGGAAGGAGTTAGGCCCTCAGAGAGGGAACAGAGAGGAAACCAGGTAAGCAGCCCAGGGCTGGGGACTCAGAGGCCTGTGGGTCCTGGAGCTGGGGCACACATGGAGAACTCAAGGTTCAGGGAGGAGCCTGCAGTGGGAAATCTCAGGCCATCCCTGGGCTGGGGTATAAAGGCCCATCAGGGAACTGAAACACTCATATTTCAGAATTGGGGAACCTGAAGTTGCCTAAGAGGCAGAAGTGGCGAAGATCAATGGGTGAGAAGCAAGGCTCAATGGATAGCTGCCTCATCATCCTTCTCCGGGTCCCTTCCGTGCCTTGAGGCCTGCTAGCACCTGGGGCTCAGTTTGGGCTGAACTAGGGCCCTCTTACCCTCCACAGAGAGGTGCACACGAGGCGCACCTAGGTCTATGTCCTTCTAGAATGGCCAGCCCTATCATGATCTGTTTCAATGACCCCAGGCTCCCCTGACATTCTTTCTCCCCTCTGCCATCCTCACTCATGCTGCCCGAGCCCCGAGACATTACCTATGACATTAAAAAAAGACATAAAATTTGTAAAATGCCTTAATAGTAGAGATGCAGATAAAGTATTTTATTATTAAAAAATGCTCTTCCTCCTTACCTGTATCAAAGTCTTTTTCATGATGGGGGAAGTATGCAACATACTTTGATAAGTTAGAAAAGTATAAAAGTAAAAATAAATCCCACTATTGAGGATCAATTAAATGGCAGGGGAACTTCTGTGTGTGTCCAGAGAGGGAATGTGGCTGAGCATTAAGGCTCACCTGAGTATTGGTGTAGACACCCAGTTTCCCTCATGCCAGTGTGAGTGTAGGCATGTTCCAGCCTGTGTGTCTGAGCTGGTGCACGTGTGTGCACACCTGTGCCTGTGTACCTTTGTGTACCTTGGTTTGGGGAGGACCCACACTCCCGCCACAGGTGTATCTCAAATTCAGCTTTTGAGCTGGCAAGCAGGGTGCTGCCAGGTTTGGCAATCCAACTTCAGGACCATGAAGCCTGCACACTAGGGAGACGTGAAGAGTCCTTGTGGTTCTCAAAAATGGCAGAAGGAGGAGGAAAAGGTTGGCTGGCGCAAGCTACCTAGAGGAGATATCATGGACCTGAAATGACAACCGGAGGGAAATAAAACCTAATAGCTCCTTGTGTCTCCCTGTGTGTTTGGTCGGGGAAGGCGGGCATTCAGGGAAGAAGCAATGGAATCTGTGGGGCTTTGGGATTCGCTGTCCAGGAATCCCTGTGCACCAAAGAGTGTCCAGCCCATGAGACAGGAGGACAGCAAGTGGGTCCAGCAGGGCCTGAGTCTCCAGAGAGGCTAGCATTCTCCCCACGAGGGCGTGGGTCAGTAGGTGAAGGAGAAACCCGGGCTGCAGGGTGAGGTAGATGAGACACTTATCACTTAGCCAGGTGGGAGCACAGGGGAGGGCCTGGTGAGCAGCGGCCTAATTGGCCGGTGACACCCTGTTCCAGTGCTGCATGTGCACACACAAGCTTCGCCCCGCACATCCTCTCCAGGGTGCCTCAGCTGGGCAGATAGGAAGCAAGGCACACAAGATCCTAAGCTTATGGTCATGAGTGGACCCAGAGCAGGTTCCCCAGGATCACTGGTTCCAGGAGAGGCTGGCATGCAGGGTCTCTTCAGGACAGGGATAAAAATGCATAAGCCCAGCTCTCCACCTGGCGGGTGTCTTGCCCTGATGATGTCAGCCATGGCAGATACAGCTCTTCCACGTAGATTGCAGATCCACAGGCTTACAACTTCCCCCTGGCATTCTCCAGGATGGGTCCCTGGACCCTGGACGAGCCAGTGCCCCACCGGTGTTTCCTCCCAGCCTTCAAACTCACAGAAGGCTCATTGATAACTCTCCTTCTAGTACATGGACACCCACAGGAACTTTCAACAACTCAGGACTGTTGTATGTTGCGGGGTCCTGCCACCTTACCCAGCAGTGGGAAAATGGGAAGAGAAAGAGCTGGAATGGACAGAGCAGAGGCCACAATCCTAACCCTCCCTCATGGCAAGGGAATGGTGGGATCCTTCCCAGCCCAGGAAGCTGCTTCCCAAGCATCCCTGGAAGCCCAGCACAAGCCGAGGGATTCACTCAGCCACAGCTGGGCATGGGGGATTTCAATGTGTGCCAGAGACCTGGATCCTAGTCGCCCTACTAGGTGTACTTCTCCTCCAGGTCACATTATGCTGACACCCTCCTTAACCCAGATGGACTCCTCATCCTCACCACATGGTGTTGGCTGGAAGAGTTACTCCTGGTGGCCCAGCCACTGTTTCAAGGTACAGAGAGTGACCAGCAGTCCCCTGATTCCTGGTCCTCCTGTCCAAGTAATATCCATAGAAATAGTAAAAGAGTGGCACATTAGACATCATGACTTTTTTTTTTTTTTGAGACGGAGTCTCGGTTTGTCGTCCAGGCTGGAGTGCAGTGGAGCAATCTCGACTCACTGCAAGTTCTGCCTCCCATGTTCATGCCATTCTCCTGCCTCAGACTCCCAAGTAGCTGGGACTACAGGTGCACGCCACTGTGCCTGGCTAATTTTTTGTATTTTTAGTAGAGATGGGGTTTCACTGTGTTAGCCAGGATGGTCTCGATGTCCTGATCTCGTGATCCACCTGCCTTGGCCTCCCAAAGTGCTGGGATTACACAGGCATGAGCCCCCACACCCGGTGACCTCATGACGTTTTTAAGGTTGACCTCTTTATAAGCATTTCATCCAGATATTTATGAGTTTATCTCATTTATTTATTTATGGCTCTCATTTCAAAATCTATTTTTGCTTGAGAGTTGTTTCAACAGATAACCAAATGGTTGGCGCTATGACACATAGGTTTCAAGCTTAAAAGTCTGTATCTGCTATTATGTTGGGTAAAACCCATCCAGTACTTACAAAAATAAGTAATTATTAGGCATGGCCACTGTAGTGGTCTAAAACACACTTTGAAATTCTCTGCAAACCCATTTGAAAAAACATTCCTGATGTGACTGAACACAGTACTTGCTTGTAATGAATAGAAAACAGTGCAAGCATTTTCTGGATACTGGTCCACCTCTGGCCTAGGTTAGAAAAGGTGACATAGCTCTGCCTAAGTCTCCTGCTCTCAGGGGGACAAACCCCTCAGGAGCCCCTGACCAGTACATCATGAAGTCTAACACCCTGATAACACTATGCAGAAGGGACATCCCATGGAGAGACTCACAGAAATAGAAGGAGATGCCTGAGGATCTCAGCGGTCCAGCCCCTGCTATTTGAGTTATGCTAGCCATGGCACCAGGGAGATGAGAAGACATCTGTCAATGTCCCCATCCTTTGCCATCACTAGATTGCATTCTCCTGAGTGCCCCTGAACCACAATCGTTTGGCTGAGAGACTGTAGGAGACTGCAGAGACTGACAGTTAGTAAGTTATAATTATAGTTTTCAGCCACTAAGTTTTAGATAATTTTAAAAAGCACTTTCAACTCCTAGAAAAACTGAGTTGTCTACTGAGTAATTCTGGAGAACTTTAAAGGCCAACATCATATATGTTAATAACCTGGAAAAGTCAAACCATCAAGGCTCTTCTAAATACAACAGATCTTTAATGTCCCTTTGCTGTGGCTGGAGAATAATCTAACATGTATCTGAGAGAGTATTTTGAAGGCCTCTGTTCACATCTCTTGGCTGGGTATGGGTCAACTCTGGTCTGCTTTAATTCTAGACAACTGCAGCAACTCATCTTTCATTTTAGGTCCTGGCCTACACTGATCTTTTGATCACTGACTGTGTCTGTGTCTGTGTGTGTATGTTTTGTGTGCTAGCATATTTTATCTGAAGGCACTAAATAATAGTACTATAGTTGTTTCATAAACAAAAAGCATTCCAGGAAGACAATATTGCTTATCAACTGAGCTTTAACACAGATATGAGGCAGGTCAGGGAGACTCACACCTGCACTCCCAGAAGTTTGGCAGGCTGAGGTGGGTGGATCTCTTGACGTCAGGAGTTTGAGACAAGCCTGGCCAACCCGGCAAGATCCCATGTCTAATATCATGCCAAAGCTATCCGGGCTTGGTGGCCCATGGATGTAACCCCATCTACTCAGCAGGCTGATGCAGGAGAATCCATAGAACCCCGGGGATGGAGTTTGCAGTGAAGTGAGATCACATCTCTGTGCTCCAGCCTGGACACCAGAGTGAGACTCTGTCTCAAAAATAAAAATAAAATAAAATATTAAACTAGATAGGAGAGATTACTGACGAGAGAAATGCATAAAACTGGGTGGGCATTTTGGTTCACACCTGGAATCCCAGCATTTTGAGAGGCTGAGGGGGGTGAATCACTTGAGGACAGGAATTCGAGCCCAGTCTGAGCAAACATTGTGAAACCTGGTCTCTAATAAAAATACAGAAACAAAAAGGTAGCCAGGATTGATCAGGATTGATGTCATATGCCTACAGTTGCAGCTACTCAGGAGGGTGTGACTGGAGAATTGCTTGAACCTGGCATGGGGAGGTTGCAGTGAGCCAAGATCATGCCACTGAACTCCACCCTAGATGACAGAGCAGGATTCCATCTAAAAAAATATCAAAGAGAGAAACAGAGATAGAGAAAAAAGAAAGGCGGGCGAGGGGAAAGATAGAGGGAGTGGGGATGGAGTGGGGAGGGATGGGGGAGAGAGTGAGAGAAAATGGAAGAAAAGAAGGAAGGAAGGATGGAAGGAAGGAAGGATGGAAGGAAGGAAGGAAGGGGAGAAAAGAAAAACAGAATGAATGGCATAAAACCCAAAGGAAATAAATAAAAATAAAAACTTGCCATTTTGCCCCTTATCCACATGAATTTTGAACTATGTTTAAAATAGTATTTAGGTCTCTAATGGACTAATTGAAACTTTAAAATAAGCTGGTGTATATTGTCAAAATTACTCACATAACTATGGTGTTAACTAAGATTCTTGTAGTTTTCAACAACGAAATCTAATTGACATTTGTCATCAAATCACAAACTACCAAGGTCAGGGTAGTCTCTGTTATGCTGCCTAAACTATTCTAAATTAAAAATGAAATCAAATCTGCAAGAGATTTTATAGTTACCTTTACCAGTAAAGACTCTTTTAAGTTTCCTGACTTGCGGAGGATTTTATTTCCACAGTTTTGATGGCTCTGGCAGAAAGCCTTCTTGATCCAAACTCACCCCTTATCATCACAGTATATATATATATATATATATATATATATATATATATATATATATATATATATATATGTTCAGGGATTAAGGGGAAAGAGCATCAAAACCCATTGCTTTCCTGCACTGGTTCCCATGTACAAGCAAATGTGCTGTGTTACTATCAAATATTCAAATATTTGATGAAGGAAATTTGTGTTTCCAAACTGTAAAACAAAAATATTACTATCAGTTGTATTTTCACTATTTATTTACTTAGAGGCGGGGTCTTGCTCTGCCACCAGGCTGAATCACACATCACTGTAATATCAGACTTTTGGGCTCATAGGCTCCTCCAACATCAGCCTCCCAAAGTACTGAGATTACAGACTTGGGCCATTTTACCCAGCCTCAAGTTTAGAGATAAAGGCTAAGGAATATATTGTAAACCATATAAATAAACATAATTGCAGGTTCTCTAGAGAGCTGTAAGAAACCACTGAAAAATTGCCATTGTGGACAAGGCTGCTGGCGACAATGTAATGAAAGCAAAGGAGTGGGTCCTTCCCCAGTGAGCCTTTAGATGATACCAGAGGCCGACTTGGCATTTCCACTGCAGCTTTTTGAGAGACATGAAACCTAGATGTATGCAGTTTTTTTTTGTTTGCTTGTGTTTGTTTTTTATTTTGTGTGTGTGTGCATGTGTGTGTGTGTAAGCATGCATACATAACCAGTTGAACAAACTAGGGTCACCCACACAATGGAATATGATGCAGCTTTTTGTAGATCTTGTAGAATTCATCCTGAATCTATCAGTTCTTGTTTTTTTATTTTTTTTGGCTGGTAGGTTACTTATTAGTAATAATTCCATGTCAGAAATTGAAATTGGACAGGCTGGAGCTGAGACTGGGTCCACTTAGATTCTGTTGTGGAACAGAGAATGGCATGCTTGTAATTTTGGTTGTGATGGTTACTGGAAGGTCTCTGAACAGATGGGCTAGTTCTGCCTGCAGCAAGAGAGCCTGGGGCTGACAATCAGCTCCCTTGACATCTGCTGTTGAACAGATCATTTAGAGCCTGGTCTCTGCTAAGAAAGTTGCATATTGCCCAGAAAGTTTCTCAAAGATATGGTTCCTTGACTAAAGTGGAAGGGCCAGAGCTGAGAGTGGGTCTTCCCCATAGTGGGCAGAGGCTGGAGAGTCTAGATTCATTTTCTGCCGGACAGAGCATGGATAGACTACATTCATTGGCTCAGGTAGGCATGTTCCCCAGCACCATAGTTGCTTCCCAGTAGCACTGGGGGGGTCTGGAGATGAGACTGGGATTCTCTGTTTCTCAATAAGTCACATGCTCTAGAGATTCTAATCCAGTGATTTCCATTAGATATATCAGAAGTGATCTTCCTTCCAGGGGTACCAAGCCTTATTATAAAACTACTTGCCCACTGGGTCCAGGTGGGGCCAGAAACTTCATCCTTAACCACTAAGTTACCTCTGCTTTTCAGCCTGGGGATGGGTGGAGCACACAGGGCTAGGATGGTCAAAAGTATGGAACCTGGGATTGGGTGGGGTAACATGCCCCTTCCAATGTTTAATCACCAAGCTACCAAGCTACCTGTTTGTCACAGCTTTGGAAGTTTTGCAAATAAAACCAGGATGGGATTGGGCAATTGGCCAGTGATTTGAGCCTGGTAGACCCATCAACCATGTTTGGTTACTGCAGAATGATACTGTTGCCTAGTTTGTCTGATGGTGCACGTCTGCTGGCTGGAATGCAAAGCTACAAGTAAGATTACTGTTACAGTCACTGTGAGCCCCATCCATGTACTTTGTTTCTAACTGAACCCAGTTGTCTGATAACCCCAATATTTCCCACAGGGTAAGACTAGAGAGAAAATCATGTGAAGAATTGCAAAATGGAAAAGAAAAGTCACCTTCAACTCTCTCCTCTGTGAAGAAACTGTGAGTCCAGGGAAATTTTTTGTATGCAACACTGTGCTGGCCTGGGGAGGAGAAAAAGCATCAAATTAAAACTGTTCTTTTATCCTGTGTGTGTGGCTATTCTCAGATCCACAGTTGAAAAATGTGTCATATATTCAATCCCAAGTTATAGAATTATTCACTAAGGTGTCCTTATCTAACAATAGTGTTTTTTTTTGTTTTTTTTTTTTTGTTTTTTTTTTTTTTTTTTTGTGGAGAGGGTGGGAATTGGCAGAATCACAGAATGCCTATTCTGGCACATCGGACCCTAGAAACAGACAAGTTAAAATAGAAGACTGGTATAGGCTGAGCACAGTGGCTCACGCCTGTAACCCCAGCAGTTTGGGAGGCCAAGGCAGGCATATCCCGTGGTCAGGAGGTCGAGACCATCCTGGCTAACATGGTGAAATCCCCTCTCTGTTAAACACACAAAAAAAAAAAAAAAAAGAAATAGTCAGGCCTGGTGGCACGTGCCTATAGTCCCAGCTACTCTGAAGGTTCAGGCAGGAGTATCACCTAAACCTGGGAGGTGGAAGTCAAAGTGAGCTGAGATCACACCACTGCACACCAACCTGGGTGACAGAGTGAGACTCGATCTCAAAAAAAAAAAAATACTGGTCCTAATGGAGGAGTTTAAAAGGTTAGAGTGCTTCCATGGAGAAGCTAAAAGCTAGAGGAAGCCAAGGGCTGGATTTAAGGAAGAGCTCACGGGACCATTGAAAACCACCTCTTTGTTCTCTATGGAATGCAGGAAATAGTGAATGCTGATCTCCACTGCTTACTGATATAGGCAAGTTATCAGCCAGAGAAACATAGTCTGTTTGTGTTCCTATAAAAGAATATGAGACTGGAAAATTTATAAAGAAAAGAGCTTTCATTGTCTCCTGGTTCTTCAGGCTGTAAAAGATATGTGGTGCCAGCATCCACATCTGGTGAGAGGTTTCTGAGGCTTCCACTCAGTACAGAAGGAAAAAGGAAAACAGGCATGTCACATGTAGAGAGAGCAAGAGAGAGAAGGGGAGAAGGTATCAGCCTTTTTTCAACAACCTGTTTGGATGTAAGCTCCACTGTGGGAATCAATACAGTGGAAGACTCAATTATTAACCATGGCAAGGGCGCCAAGCCATTTATGAGGGATCCAGCCCCATGACACAAACAAACACCCCCCACTATGCGCCATTTACAGTGTGGAGGACCACATTTCAGCCTAAGGCTTGGAGGGACAAATGTCCAAACTATATCAATAGGCAAGTTTAAAAATCATGCAGAGTTATTGTAAAACAATCTCTTTTTTTTTCTTTTTAGAATCCTGGGACTACAAAAAACTGTGCTTCATTAGCTTCCAGAGAAGTCAGGGCCATAATTGGGTAGTTTTGGTACTACCAAAATTTGGTAATTTTACTTCTTGGAAGTAAAATTTAGAAGCTCTGTTTATTGCTAGAGTGAGTGATGATGAAGACTGAAGAGAAATGCATATGTGCATGCTCTCAGAGGACCTTGACAGATCCAAAAGTCAGGAGGATTAGAAGCAAGATACCTGGGCAGAAGCTATAAAAGTCAAGATATGGCCCTGTAATCCCAGCACTTTGGGAGGCCGAGGCGGGCGGATCACGAGGTCAGGAGATCAAGACCATCCCGGCTAAAACGGTGAAACCCCGTCTCTACTAAAAATACAAAAAATTAGCCGGGCGTAGTGGCGGGCGCCTGTAGTCCCAGCTACTTGGGAGGCTGAGGCAGGAGAATGGCGTGAATCCGGGAGGCGGAGCTTGCAGTGAGCCGAGATCCCGCCACTGCACTCCAGCCTGGGCGACAGAGCGAGACTCCGTCTCAAAAAAAAAAAAAAAAAAAAAAAAAAAAGCTCACGCCTGTAATCCCAGCACTTTGGGAGGCCGAGGCGGGCGGATCACGAGGTCAGGAGATCGAGACCATCCCGGCTATAACGGTGAAACCCCGTCTCTACTAAAAATACAAAAAATTAGCCGGGCGTAGTGGCGGGCACCTGTAGTCCCAGCTACTTGGGAGGCTGAGGCAGGAGAATGGCGTGAACCCGGGAGGCGGAGCTTGCAGTGAGCCGAGATCGCGCCACTGCACTCCAGCCTGGGCGACAGAGCGAGACTCCGTCTCAAAAAAAAAAAAAAAAAAAAAAAAAAAAGATATGGCTGGGTGCAGTGGCTCAGGCCTGTAAACCCTGCACTTTGGGAGGCTGAGACAGATGGATCACCTGAGGTCAGGAGTTCAAGACCAGCCTGACTAACATGGTAAAACCTTGTCTCTACTAAAAAGTACAAAAGCTAGCCTGGCGTGATGGCTTGTGCCTGTAATCCCACCTGCTCAGGAGGCTGAGGCAGGGGAATCACTTGAGCCTGGAGAGGCGGAGGTTGCAGTGAGCTGAGATCATGCCATTGCTCTCCAGCCTGGGTGACAGAGCAAGACTCTATCTTAAAAGAAAAAAAGAATAAAGAAGTCAAGGCGTTAGATGTACAATCTAAGTTCTTCAAGGTACAAAGTGGGAACTGAGCTTTCTTGACTGCTTGAGATCCAGTAAGTGAGGAGGAAACAGTTTCAGAAGTGTTTGAATGTATATTTAAATCCCTCTTTTATTTTGGAGGTCCTAAGAGAGTTATGAATGCCAATCTGTGTTAGAATTCAGAGATAGGCAAGTTAGGAATCATTTCGTTGAGAAGCAGCTGTTAACAGATGGGGCATTACATAGGTGGTTTAGTACTTCAGTCCTCTGAGAGAAGCTGTGAAATAACAGTTCCCTGCTGATTCTAGGGCACTGGGTCAGACATAAACCCTAGAACAAGATCAGAATTCAGTTTTTCTTACCTCTTTTAAAGTGAGTATTTTCATAATTGTATGTGCAAGAGTATCCCAACTTCTTTCTGAGTTTATCTCATAGGGAATTGATGTGGGTGTGGCTTTTTATTTGTTGCATTTGTGGATGAAGGAACAAATTAGAGCCTCCTATTTTATCACCTTGTTGGAGATACCCTTTTTATTTACTTTTTACTTATTTAAAAAAATGTGTACATAACAATTGCAGATACTTTTGGCATACATGCTATATTTTGATACAAGTAACGTAAACTGGTAAGGAAGGGATCAAAGAGGGGTTGGGGTGGGTTCAATTATGGTTGCTTAGAAGGAATAAGATCTAGTGTTCAGTGGCACAGGATGAGAATACTTAGTAACGATTTATTGTATATCTCAAAACAATTAAAAGAGCAAAGGTGGAATGGCGCTAACACCAAGAAATGACATGCCAGACTCAGAGGCTCACAGCTATAATCACAACACTTTGGGAGGCCAAGGAAGGAGGATCAGTTAAACCTGGAAGTTTGAGACCAGCCTGAACAACATATCCAAAGCATTGTCCCTACCACACACACACAAACACAAAAGCTGGGCACGGTGGTTGGTGTGTGTCTGTAATTCCAGCTACTTGGGAGGCTGAAATGGAAGGCTTGCACATTTGAACCCCGTGTTCAAGGCTGCAGTGAGCTATGATGGTGCCACTGCAGTCTAGGCTGGACAACAGTGTGAGACCTTGTCTCTAAAAAAGAAAAAAGAATCGACAAGTGCTTCAACTGAAGGATACCCTATTTATTATTTATATATTTGTTGATTGATATAATTATTTTTGAGATGGAGTCTCTCTCTGTCACCCAGGCTAACGTGCATGGTGCAACATTGGCTCACTACAGCTTCAGGTTCCCAAGTTCAAACAATTCTCCTGCCTGAACCTCCCAATTAACTGTAACATACTACAGGTATGCACCACCACACCTGGCTAATTTTTGTATTTTTGGTAAAAATAGGGTTTCATGGTGTTGGCCAGCCTGGTTTTCAACTCCTGATCTAAAGTGATCTGCAAGCCTTGGCCTCCCCAAGTGTTGGCATTAAAGACCTGAGCCATCACACCTGGACAGTAAGATAGCCAAGACCAGGGAGTTTTATCTTTTCACTTCATCCTCACAATCCTATGTTACAGGTAAATGAAAACACAACTTCATAAATGAATAACTCACTTGAAAATCAACGTTTGTAACTTTCCCTTTAAAATTATTTACACCCTTACCCTAAAAAAGTGATGATCTTCTCTAAATTTTCTCAAGAAAATACTTCCTTCTTGTAGATTAGTCTGTTAATTATAAGAATCATAGACTGTGAAACTTCTGGAACTACATGTATTTCTGGAACTTCATGAAAACACATGAATTAACCAGGACAATTAATTAGTTTAGTTATTTAGGTCCAAATCTTTTTATTTTTATCATTTGATGATTTCTTATACCTTTAAGCAATCTCATCTGAAACTTTATGCTGTTGTTTATGTTTTATACACTTCACTTTCCCAAAAGTACGAGGTTTAAGTGTTTCCATTCATATCATCAATTAAATCTGATAGGCTGAGAGTGGTGGCTCACGCCTGTAATCTTAGCACTTTGGGAGTCCAACTAGGGTGGATTAGGATTTTAAGACCAGCCTGGCAAACATGGTGAAACACTGTCTGTACTAAAAATACACAAAATTAGCCAGCTGTGGTTGCACACATATCTAATACCAGTTACTCAGGATGCTGATGCAGGAGAATAGCTTAGACTTAGAAGGCGGAGGTTGCAGTAAGCCAAGATGGAGCCACTGCACCCTAGCTTGGGCAACAAAGCTACGCTCCATCTAAAAAAAAAAAAATAGGTAAAATCCCAACCATTCTAGATTTTTCCCATTTGTAAGAACTTATTACTAAACCATTACTTACAACAACCATTGTCAAAACTTTCATGAAAAAATTAACATGAGTACCTCCCAAGACAAAACACTTACTTTCCACTATTTAAACTAGGAACATTTAATTTCATTATGCTATGCACTTGAGAAACTTAGCTGGTTCACTTTTGATTTAGGTAAAAAAGAATTTTCATTACTATTATCCTCCTTCAGTCACAGAATGCTGCAAGTAGAATGTTCCAGATATCTTAAACTTTAGTATCAACCGCATCTAATTATTTCCTTTCACCTACACTATTCCTCTAAAAATAAACGTTTTATTGTGAGACAGATAGTTTTGTAGTCTTTCTGAAAACTTCTCAAACATTTTAAGCTTGTACGTTTTTAAAGAGAAACAGCCTAATTAGAAAACTTGTGCAGCTTGCAAGAAGACATAACATATGCCTAATTTTGTATCTATTCATGTTAAAAGAAACAAAGGAAAATATTCAACAACACAATTTACTCTCCTACTGAATTTGTTTTTAAGCATGTGCAGCTAAGCAATAACACCAGCCATTTTGCATTGTAAAATTTTATTCTGAAAATTTTAATGTAGATATTACATCTAAACAGATAGTTTTCAAATAGCATTAACAAGTAGGAAATTAATTTGAAAAAAAAATCCTTTTCCTTTGAATACTTCAAAAAATTCATGGGGGAAGTTAGTATCTACCTCTCTCCACAAAACCAACATGTTTCTTTTAGTAACACGCAGGTAACAATGCAGAAATAACATGTCAATTTTTGATTTGCAAACAAGGTTTGGTATGCAATAACTATTATTTTGAATACTTGCTTTAATATCTGCTTCGGTCTCCTTTTTCAGATCAACTTTCCCCATCATCTCCTATAGATGCCACATAACTTGAGCTCCATATGCTTCACGAGGAGCAGGGTGCAACCCATCCAGAGAAGATGGATTCCTTTGGTCTTTTCTACCAACATGCTCATGACCACAAGAATCAAAATCACCACAGCTCCTTGAGTAACTCTCTGACTTTTGCCATATCTATCTCGTGTATTATTATAATCATGGCGGGTGCTTCCACCATAAGACATCCGAAGCCCTCGTGCAGGTGGTGCACCATGAGAGGTCCCTGCAGGGTTGATAAAATAATATGTTCGACTACATTTAAACATTTTTACTGCTATCACTAAAGCATGAATTAGTTAAAGTACTATTTGGAAATGTGTGCTTTCCTCTGCCTTTGTTGATAGGATATTAATTAAGCCTGCAATAGTAGGTCTTATTTAAAAGAAGTGTAAGTATAGTATTTTGAAGCTGGACAAGTTTAATTCTAAAGTAAAGGTTGAGTCACATTTTCTAAACTTGAAATGAAGTTCTCACCTTCATATCGTTCCCTATGTTTTATATTGTTAAGAATACTCAATATTTAAACACGTTATATTTGTCCTTCCTAACTTTCCTTAGAATTTCATTAAAATAACAATCTGGTCTATTAAATATAATTCTATAATTTACAAATCCATCCAGGATCCTTACCATATCTCTGAAATGCATCTCTATAAGAACTTCCACTTAGATGTTCAGAATGATCTCTACCATAGCCCTCACCGTAGCCACCACAATCACTAAACTAAAAAAAATAGAAAAGTTTTCTTAATGTCAGAATGAACAATTTAAGAAATCTATTTATTAAAGCCAGATGACGTTATAGTACCTACATCCTCTAGAGGAATGTTCATCCCGACTAGAGCGACCATAATCACGATATGCATAGTCTCAAGGTGGTGGAGCATAATCCCTGGTTTCTCAGGAACTTGGATGATTTCTGTGTGCATAAGTTTAAGCAACCAATTTTGAAATTTCAACTTCTAGTATCCAAAACATCACTAAGTTACAATTAAAACCAAATTAAAGGGCCAAACATCTAAATAAATTTCACTCCAAATAAAATAGGCAAATGCCCCAAAATCACATGGAACAGATACTCATAATCAGTGATGCAGAAAAATCCATTTCAAATCCAGAATGAGATACTGAGAGGTGACAGCGTACTGGCAGCCCTTGCAGCCTTCGCTGGCTCTCGGTGCCTCCTCGGCCTTGGTGCCCACTCTGGCGGCGCTTGAGGAGCCCTTCAGACTGCCGCTGCACTGTGGGAGCTCCTTTCTGGCTGGCCAAGGCTGGAGCCGGCTCCCTCAGCTTGCGGGGAGGTGTGGAGGAGGGAGAGACGCCGACGGGAACCAGGGCTGTGCTCGGTGCTTGTGGGCCAGAGCGAGTTCCGGGTGGGCGTGGGATCGGTGGACACCGCACTGGAGCGGCAGGATGGCCCACAAGCCCCAGGCAGTGAGGGGCTTACCACCTGGGCCAGCAGCTGCTGTGCTCCATTTCTCGCGGGGCCTTAGCTGCCTCCCCGCAGAGCAGGGCTCGGGACCTGCAGCCGGCCATGCCTGAGCCCACACCCCGGCCCCGCTGCCCTCCCCCTGCCACCCCGGGATCCCCTCCCCCCGCCAGCCCCGGCTCCCCTCCCCCTGCCCCCCCTCCGCCCTCCCCCTGCCAGAGACCACGAACCCACCAGAAGGAAGAAACTCCGAATACATCCTCACGAGGTGAGGAGATAGAGAAGATCGTGGCCAACAGGGTGAAAACCTGTCTCTACTCAAAGTACAAAAATTAGCTGGACCTGGTGGCGTGTGCCTGTAGTCCCTGCTACTTGGAAGCTGAGGCAGGAGAATCACTTGAACACAGGAGGTGGAGGTTGCAGTGAGCCAAGATCGACCCACGGCAATCCAGCCTGGTGACACAGTGAGACTCAACAATAAAAAACAAATAAGCATCCAAACAAGAACTCTACACCAATTACCTGCTCTTTTGCTTGAAAACTAGGGGAAAAAAGAAATTATCATAGATTAGTATACATAAGTCAACATTATCTCCATACGTACCGCAAAGCCATGAACCAAAAGCTATTCTTGGTTTCTACCACAGCTTAAAACACTAATTTATAAGAGTGACTACAAATGTACTTTCTGCTATGTGCCAGAAAGTGAGCTAGATGTAACAGAAAGAGAAGCAACTAGCAAGACTTAAATATGCACTATATACAACTTCACAATCAATAGATTAATACATGGTACAGTGAGTACAAAATACCTATGTTATGCAATGAGGAAGAAAATATGAAATCTAAGTGGTTTTTGAAGCATAAATTTTATTTATGAGACACACACAGGGAAGGATAATTCTCAAGAAGTCTAAAAAAGCACTTTGGGGATAGCGTGAAGACTAACAGGACCTAAAAACAGATTGGGATGTTATTTATTATTATTTTTATTTGTTATTTTTTTTAGATGGCGTCTTGCTCTGTCCCTAGCCTGAAGTGTAGTGGCATGATCTTGGCCACTGCAACCTCCGCCTCCCAGTTTCAAATGATTCCCCTGCCTCAGCCTACTGAGTAGCTGGAACTACAGACACACACCACCATGCATGGCTATTTTTTTTTGTATTTTAGGAGACGGGTTTTCACCATGTTGGCCATGATGGTTTTGTTCTCCTGACCTCATGATCTGCCCGCCTCAGCCTCTCAAAGTGCTGGGATTACAGGCATGAGCCACCACGCCTGGCCTGATTGGGATAATGTTACACAGCAAAAAAGCTCTAAAGGGCCCATAATGGAATGATCTTGACTAAAGTGTAAAGGAATTCAATAGTTACTTGAATTACATGAAAGTTTAAAGCTTTAGTAAACACACAATCCCAGATTTAAGACTCAGTAGGACAAGAGACCATTTGCTGGATCAAACAAGTCCTCAACACACAGGGGAAATGAGTAATTAGGTATTCATGTTACATAAATCACTCTGGTGACAGGAAAAAAAAAATGTCCTTAGGAGAAAAGAGCAAGGATGGGGCAAAAATGCCAGTTACTTCTGTTATACAACTTCAAAGTTCTCATATTATTTTCTATTTTCAAGTACTTAACACTTCCTTAAATGTAAAGGTCTTATTGAAATATACTTTCTTAAGAATGTGTTTTCAGAAAATGGGAGACAATCTTTCTTTCTTGTGAGTCTGTCTAGATATCTATCCACAGTTTGACTATGCTATAGAAGTATTTCCATGAGTTGGAAGTAATTACATTAATGGCATTTAATAAATGTTGACTTATCTCTTTCATTTACATGAGGGTTCCTTATAAGTTTTAAAGCTCTTTGAAACCTGTGAAAATCTATTTACACTCATATTGGAATACAAACATAGAAAAATGTTACCATATATTAATTTATGTAATGTTAATTCCAATACCCTTCCAACTACACTCGCATGTATATAGCACAAAGAAGAGGATGGCTTCATATGGCATTCTACTATCTTCAAAATTTAGTAACATTAAAAAGACCTAGAAATACTGTTAATTGAAGAACAGAGTTAGAATATTATTAATAAGGGACACTTAACCTTTCCATTCATATCTTTGTCAGCATTCTTAGCATCTGCAGCGTTCTCAAAAGTAACAAATGCAAAGGGTCTGGAGATTTGCTGCTTCAATCCTTTATGAAAAGAACTAAAATATATAAAAACATTTTACATTCATATAATGGACTCACCAAGGTAGTAACCATCTGAAAGTTACATGAAACCAAAAAATAATTGCATTTCACATCACTACTATGATTCTTAATACTAAGTCACCCCTATAGTCAGCCTATTTTTTCCAATTTGTTCCCTAACTCCATAACACATTTACTTTTTCTCATTTTCCTTTCTAAGTAGTAGGTGATCCTTACCACATACCCTTCACCTGCTGCTATGAGAATTTTCCAAAAATCAAATAGATACTTCAAGAGTTTAAATTTGATAAGGCATTTTAATGTATGTATAAAATGAACTTTAAAATATATATATATTTTCAAAATATATGTAACATACATATTTTAAATATACATATTGAAATATATATATATATGAAAATACAAACACACACACACAGTTTTAAGAGTTACCGTCTGATACCAGACCATGTTTCACATCTTTTCATTCGTTTTAAGTATCTTTTCATTGGTTTTTCTATGTAGGCCACCAATGAAAAGCTTGCCAAGATGATCTGCTTTTACCACTGTTGTGTAAAAGGTAAAAAAATTATCTATACTTAGATAAAAATAAATAAGCTAAAAAGATAAAATTTTATTACACACTGTGTTGAAAACTCAAGTAAAATTCCCTTTCAAAGGCTGACATCTTTTTAATATTTCTTATTTTCAATATGTAAAATTTGTAACACACAGAGCAAAAGGAGCACTGACTTCGTGAACAAATGCTGCATTTTAATATGTACCTGACAAAATCTTGTTTCTAAAAATTGGATAAGAAAAGCTATTGTAATTTTCCTAAGTTACAATATGAACGATGCCCTCATTTAAACAATTTTATTTGAAAACTACATATTTATGAGGTACAGTTTGATGTTTTGTGTATTTTCTTTCTTGAGATGTTTATCACCTGTTGCCAAAGTGCGTGGCTCACTGCAGCCTCCTCCACCCAGCCTCAACTGATCTTTCCACGTCTCATTTTCCCAAGTAGCTGGTACTACAGGGACTTTCTCCCAGAGCTGGGCAATATTTTTGTCTTTTTTAAAATAGACATGAGTTTCCTCATATTGCCCAAGCTGGTCTCCAAATCCTGCGCTCAAGTGATCTGCCGGCTTAGGACTACCAAAGTGATGGGATTTCAAGGGTGAACCACCATGACCAGCATAATATTTTGATAAAAGATTAAATCAAGCTAATTAAAATATTCTTGGGGAAGAGCATTTTAAATATTTTACCATATTTTAGTGTTCTGAAATATACAATAAGTCAAGGATCGCTAAACCTGGCCTTCAACCCGTACCTATCTGTGGCCTGAATGTAATGCCTGAGGATGACCTAAGGTGGTACATTTTCATCTGGAAAACATCCTCTCTATTCCCCCGCTGCCCCACCCTGCCCCTGTGGCAGCCCCGCAGCCCCACCTGTCCCCTGTCACACTGCTCCCACCAGAAGCCCCGTCCCACCAGTTGCCCCTCGGGCCCTGCCACCAGCCCCCCACTGCCAAACGTGTCCATCTCTACACCTTCTTCCCCTGCACAACCCTTGTCTGAGGAAAAATTGTCTTCTACTAAACCAGTCCCTGATGCTAAAATGGCAATAGATTAAAGGAGTCAATTATGTTACCAAGGCTGGTCTCCAACTCCTGACCTCAAGCCATACTCCTACCTCCACTTCACAAAATGCTAGAATTACAAGAGTAAGTCAGTGTGCCAGGTTAATGGATAGTTAAGCGCATCTATTTTGTTCCCATTGTAGGCTATCTAACTCCATTTATCTCGATTATGCCCACTTATTCACTTTACGTTATTTACCGTGCTAGAGACATATGAAACATGTTTCAAATACTGTCATACAAGGAAGGAGACAATTACAGGCTTTACAGAGGCAAATTTAAACTGAGATTATTTATGGCCCCAGACTTCTATATACACTGAAGTAACACAATTTATGTCAAAATTTGATAATTCCTGCCAAGCAAATCAGACATGTGACATGTGCTGACTAAAAGTATAAGTTTTTAATCACAGTGGTTAAGTATATTGCCTGTATTTTGAATTATGACCACACTTACAGAGAAAAACTGCTTTAATAAAAAGTGCATATGAAAACAATGGCGCCTTAGCACCATCTTCCACAACTTGCCCACATGTCGTACATGTCCGACAGCTAAAGGTAGAATCCTCAAGAAAAATCAATGAGTTTAACAAAAATGAGTTTCTTAATAGCACTTAAGTGTTCTCTCCCCACTGTCTCCTCTCATAATTCGACACTCACACATAGAAAACCCATCCCCTTTTACAGATAAAATCCCAAACCTTTGCTTTCTATTCTTGCCGAAAGCAAACCTGTCCAGAGAAAAAGAAATTACAGGTGCTTTTCAGTAAGACAAACAACCTGAGGGTTGCCCGGCCCTCAGGTCACATGCATCTGGCTTTGGGTCACCACAAGGCCAACTGCGGGAAGGACACCTGGAGCTGGCCTGAGCTGGAAGGACACTAGAAGCCATGCCCGGAAATCCCACCTACTTCTAGCGGCCAATCATTGCCACGGCGGTGGGCTTCAGCCAATTATTGTGAGGGTGGTAGGTGTCTCCCGAGGTGCCCCACCCCTGGCTGGCCTGCAGCTCCATCCTTCCGTGGTTATAAGCATCAATACAGCTTGTGCAGGGCGGCGGTGGATTCAGGCACACGCGGACTGTGAGCCCTTTGGAAATGTGGGCATGGAAGACGTACACCCTAACTGGCATCCTGAGTGTGGCGAAGCATTGACCCACACGGAACACATGAAACATCTCACTACATTAGACGGGCTAGGCAGATAGTACTGAATATTGCGATCCACAGGGGAGAAAGAGGGACCAGCTCTGCCTGCTTGGGAGAGGGCATTGGCGATGGCTTGGAGAGAGTGGGGCAGGGCGGATCCTTGGGAGGAAAGTCGACTGGTACGTTGCTGGGGTGGAATTCGTCTGCACCAGAAGATGAAAACCGCAACGACTCTTTAATATCTAGGCAAATACAGGCTCCGAGTTCCATGCTTCCTCCTTGAGGATGGTGTACTCACAGGGGCATTGCAAAGGACCTCTTATCCTCTGCCCTGGGCACACGGGAGTCCAGCCAACATACTCGCCAATCCAATGACCCTTTGCAGTGCCTTCTGGCGCAGAGGGTCCCTCAAGTGCAGCAGTGGCCGTGGTGCCTACTAGCAGGGCTCTGGAAGCACAGGGCCTCGGCTTCCGACTCCAGGGCTGCTGTGCACAGCTAATACTGCTGGGTATCTGGGCCCCATGGCGAGTGTGTGGCAGGCTGCAGGACTGCGGGGCTCCCCAGGAACCCTGCATTCACGTAGGTGTTCTCAGTAGGGCAAGCCCCGTGGGCCTCTCTGGGAGCTGACCCAAGTGTCTAGGGGTGCTGGGGTGTGGGGTGGGTGGCACAGGCCTTAGTCTGTGGGAGGCTCAAGGAGGGCACTGTGTTAAGGCGGAGGCTCTGCAGGAGAAACTGTGCACAAAGCAGGGAGGCAACCCTGGGGGAAGAGGCATGCTACTTGGGGCTGACATCAGAGATGGAGGTGGTGGCCAAGGAGGAGGCCAATGTGGAGTGGTAGCAGGAGGACGAGCAGACATATCCTGGCCCTGGCCCTGGTACACCCCGGCCGGCAACGGAATTGCTGGACGTCCTTCACCTGGAGCTGGGCTCCGTGAATGCCACAGGCCACAGGGCATCCCCCGTTTCTGGGCCAGAGCCATATCCTTGAAGCTGCCAATTCAGGATGGCTGGCAGCAGTGGGTGGGCACCGAGCTCCCGGGAGCAGGGTTGGGGGAAACATGGTGGTCGGCACTGGGGGTCAGCCAGGATTCAGGACATGGGGGACAATGAGGGGAACAGAGGACAGGCTCATGCAGATAGAAGGGCAGCTTAATTGCAGGTGCCTTCAGGGCACATGGTAGGGACAGGAAGCCAAGCACAGCACTCACAAAGGTGAAGAGCAGCGCAAAGGACGGTTCATAAACGGCAGAAAGTTGAAGGACATGTTTCACTGGGAAAGTTCCTGGAGGAAAGGGAGTCTTCATGCCCATGACAGCCATGGAACTACCCCCGCACCCTGTGCCTATGTCCAGCAGACTCACCCCAGAAACACAAGGTGCTCAAGACTGGGGTTCACAATGTACTGGGCTGCCATGTCTTCTTCAAGGCAGTCACCAGCTCCCCAGACATGATTTCTTCCCTATGCCAGCACTGCTCCCGAAGATGTTTAGGCCCTGAGCATATATAACCTCTGTTGAAAACACTTGAGCCCCATGGGGAGAGCCAGGCACAGCTCTGCAGCCACTTCTACATACAGCTGTTCCATCACGTGGACGCGCCCATCCCTCAGGGAGACCAGGAGAAGGGCAGACCACACACCCAGACAGCAGCAGAGCCTGTCCAGCACCCAGCACAAGAGGGCCTCCTGCAGCTCAGGAGCCCTGAGCAAGTAGCCATCTCACCCCACAACACCCTACCCCTGACCCCCTGCCCACTTCTTCTGTGCCCACCCTTGGTAAGAGCAGGCTGTTTGGGCCTGCCTCCATTCGCCAATAAGACCACCATAGCCGTGACAGTGCCGCGCACACCAGACAGAAACAGAGGACCTGGAAGTGAAGGTGCCAGGCCAAAGGCCTGGGGAATACCCTGCCCCACACTCTCCATGCTCTTGCAAAGTTGCAGCGTGTCTCCTTACACACCCACTCAATCATCTAGTGGCTCCTTGACCAGAGGCAGATTGTGTGGCACACCCAAGCTGGCCGGGATCACAAATGATGATGAAGTCCTTCTAAGCTACATGATGGATTTGCAGGTCAGGTTAAGGAAACTGGGTCTGTGGGAGGGTTCCAATGTCTGGGTCATGTTGAGGTTCCCTTGGGGCCTGGAGGTGTCTCAGCAGGATTGCTGGGAAGGGGAAATGCATGCTTTACCCCAGCTAGCAGGTCACCTCAGCCTGGCTACATGAAATGGTCCTTTAAGTCCATCCTTTTTCTCCTTCTTGGCCAGGTAGGGGAAGGAAGTCACCCATCCCAGGTACCGGCAGCAGGATGAAGTTTTCTTTTCATCACAAACTATATTTCCACAATGACGTGATCATTCAGGAGTTGGCATCTTCAGTAAGGAGTGTCTCCCAGTGTGGTAGAGGAGGTTGTGTGTGGGTGGGTAGGTCTGGCATGAGCCTTCCTGACTCCTCTCTCTCCAGGACACAGGATGTCTCATTCCCTGCAGTCTAGTGGTCGTGGGATCATGAAGGTCAAGCCTCCAGCTGTAGGCAGTACAGCTCCTACCTGAGCTTCTTCAGCTGGTTGGCTGACCATGACTGCCCAGGTTCTAGCAGGATTACTGAGGTGGGAGCCGAGGTAGGGCATCACGGGAAAGGATCTTGCTGCTCATTCCTTGGCCTCTGGGGAATTGGCTTTGAGCCATGACCTGAACTAACCTGTACCCACTTCTGCAGTCCGGCAGATCATCAGCCAGGGCCTGTGGCTCAATCTCTTGCAGTACTTCCGGAGAGAGGGAGGCTATTAGAGAGCGAACAGAGAGCAGGCCCGGTGAGAAGTCTAGGGCTGGGGATTGAGAGAGGCCTTTGATTCCTGAAGTTGTACCCCACAGGGAGAACCTGAGCCTCAGGAAGGCGACTGCAGTGAGCAATCCCAGGCCATCCATGGGCTGGCAGAGAAATGGCCATCAGGAAACTATAACACCACATTTCAGGATTAGGGATCCTTAAGCTGCCTAAGAGGCATAAGTGTCTAAGATCAGTGGGTGAGAAGCGAGGCTCAAGGAGTAGCTGTCTCATCATCCCTTGATGGCTCCCCTCCCTGTCCTGAGGCTAGCTACCACTTAGGGCTCAGTTTGGGCTCAGCAAGGGCCCTCTCAGCCTCCAAGCAGATGTCCTGCAGAGGCCTGCGTCTACGTCCTCCGAGAATGGCTCTCCCAGGCCCATCATTTTCTGTTACGATGACCCTGGGTTTCCCTGACATGCTTTCTCCCCTCTGCCATCCTCATTCACTCAGGCCCTGCCTACCCCCAGAAAAGACATGCCAATGCACAGGGAATCTGGATGACCACACAGGGCTTACAGGGGAGGAAATGTGAACAGATGGTAAAATGGAAGGGGACCTTCTGTGTGTGTCCAGGAAGGCAATCTGGCTGGGCATTAAGGCACACCTCACTATTGGTGAGGACACCCAGTGTCTCTTTGTCCAGAGAATGTGCACACAAACACACATATTGTCTAAATGGGATTGACATCAGTACTACCTAGTGATCTACAGATTCCATACAATGCCTGTAAAAATATCAATGACCCACTCTTCACAGAAAACCAATCTGAGAATCCTAAATTTGCTATGAAATGGCAGAAGATCCTGAAGACCCAGGGCAATCCAGTAAAAAGCACAAAGCTGGAGGCATCACACTACCTAACTTCACAATCTACTACAAAGTTTTATGTACCAAAATAGAACAGCACTGGCAGAAAAACAGAGACCTGAGCTAATGAAAAACAACAGAGGCCCAGAACTAAGTCACTGCATTAGTAGCTCATGACCTTTTCCCAAAGAAGCAAGAACACACAATGCAAAATCAAGTATCTTCTATAAACTAGGTTGGGGAAAACCTAAATATCCACATGAAGGATCTTAAAAGTAGATTATTTCTCACCAAACTCCATTATCAGACCTGAAACAATAGAAATACCAAAAGAAATCACAAAGAAGAAGCTCCATGACATCAGTGTGGGCAATGATGGTATCAAAGTGACTGCAAGAGCACAGTAAATACCATCAAAAATAGAGAATGTCATTATATCAAACTAAAGTGCTTCAGCACACCACAGGAAACTAAACAGAGGGAAGGGACATCCTACAAGATGGGTGAAATTATTGGATCACCATAGAGCTGTTAATGGGTGAATATTTACTGTACATGAGGAATTCCAACAACTCAATAGCATGAAAACAAATGGGCTAAAGATGTGAATACTTTTTGTGAAACAAAGACATACAGCTGCCCAGAAGACACATTAAAAAGCACTCATCATCCTTAATACATTAGGAGAATGCAAATCAAAACCACAATGAGATTTCATCTCACTTCAGTCAGAATGCCTATTATCCAAAAGATTTTAAAAAAGCTCATTTCTGGTAAGCATGCAGAGAAAAGGAAATTCTTGCACACTTTTGGTGAGAATGTAAATTATGGCAGGCATGGCAAGAAGCTTTAAGGCTTTTATTTAAGTAGAAAGAGGCTTCACAAATCTACAAGTAGAACCACCCACCATATGATCCAGCAAATCGGAATACCGAGGAATACCCACAAATACACAAAACAGTATGTTGAAGCGGTGCATGCACCGATGCAATTTTTGCTGCACTATTTACATTTTTGCTGTAGCCAAAATACAGAAGCAATCTGAGTATCCCTCAGTTGATGAGTGGATAACAAATGGGGCACATATGCCCAATGGAAAAATGGGCTGCTATAACAAAGAAGGAAATCCTGCCAGTTGTGACAATGCTTGTGAATCTGGTGAATGTGTGCATGCCATTTTGTTAAGTGACATAAGCCAGGTATCAGAAAGGCAAATAGCACATGACCTCATTCCTATATGAAATCTAAAAAGCAGACCTCACAGAGGTAGTGACTCCAACGGCTGGGGTGGTGTTTAGTGAAGAGGGTGCTGAGGAGATGTCGGATCAAGAATTCATATTTCTAGTTAGAATGGAGGAATAGGTTAAAAACCTTTTCTAAAGCATGCTGACTATAACTAGTGATAACACATTCTTTCTCTAAAAAATTCTAAGAGAGTTCATGTGAAGTTTTATCACCACAAAAATAACAAGTATATGAGGTCATGCATGTGTTGATTAGCTGGATGTATCCAGTGCATAACATACATGACCTTTTGAACATCACCCTATAAGTTATACATATGTATCATTTCATATGTCAATTTAAAAAATAAACATACAATTTTTAAAATTCCTTAAGAGAATCAATGTTGATAAACTATTTTATTATAAAGAAGTGCTTTTCTTTTCTACCTGTATCAATGTCTTTTTCATGACACAGGACAGAATGCAACGTAGTTTGGTAAGTTAAAAAATATATATAAAAATAAAAATAAATCCCAATGTAGATGATCAATGAAAGATAGAAATCACAGGTCCATAGACTATATAGTACATGAACGGAAACCTTCACTGCATGTTTCAAAAGAAGACGTGAGCAGGCAGAAGGAAAAAGCAAAAAACTCAAAAAGCCATTCCAGGGCCCTGGGTCACACCTGTAATCCCAACACTTTCAGAGGCTGAGGTGGGAGGATTGCCTACACTCAGGAGTTCCAACCCAGCCTGGGGCAACAAGGGCCCACGTCTAAAAAGTAATTAATTAGTTAATTAATATGTCGCTGGGAGGGGTGGCATGCATCTGTAGTGCCAGCTATGTGAGAGTCTGAGTTGAGAGGATCACATGGGAGTGGGGTGTCCAGGCTGCAGTGGGCTGAGATCCTGGTGCTGCTCTCCAACCTAGGAGACAGAGTAAGACCCATTCTCAGAAAACAAACAAAAATAAGAGTCACATTATGCAAATTAAAACAATGTAGTGTGAGGAGAATCAAAATAAACAAAGCATCATCAAAGGCTATATGATCCAATGAAAGAAACCAGCTTTCACATAATAACAGCCAAAGATGGGGAGAACAATGAGAAAGGGCAGAGAGAACATGTAAATAATAATTCACCAAACTCCCCAAATGAGTTAAAAGACATGAATGTACAAAGAGTACTTCCTTTGGCTTCCAAACCCTTAATAATAATTGTCTTTTCCTGAATCCCTGACATGCATTCAGCTCACCTGAACCTCTTGGTGAGGTTCTGAGACCATGATCTGCCCTTTTTTCTGTACACTCTCACTTTGTTATTTCACATCACTTATCTGTAGCAGGTCATAACGAATCATGATTCTTTGACATTGTTGACACAATGAAGAACTCAGATATGAGTTCAATAAACAATAGTTTATGACATGTCATGAAAAAATGCTGTATACATGATGCTTGTTAAAAGAATAATACCAAATAAAAATGTAGGAAGAAGTACATTTTCTTCATTTCATCATTGAGCTTGTGTTTACGAAACACTTTATCTGTGATCTATAGCTGCCTCCTGGAAAATGATCTGACAGAGTCTTTTGAAAGTTCCCATTCCACTTTGGAGACCACAGGCATAACCCACTTTTTCACTTTTCCACCTATTGGATATACTTAGTGGGATGAGTAGGATCCATGTGACTTTTCGCTTTGCTGTAATGCCCAGTTATTTTTTTTTTAACACTGTCTTTGCTAGATAAGGCTGAAATAAATGGTTCATTATGGCTCACAAAAAGAATTCATCTCCTTCAGCTGACATTCTTTATAAGAGGAATTTCATCCAGCCATGAAAACAATAATCTGATGCCACTGCTGACAGATTCAGAATTACAAACTAAATTCAGATAGAGGATTGGAAGATAGATGATGCAGATGGAGAGAGGGGGTTGGGGAAGGAAGGGAAGGATGAAAGGAGGGGTGTAAGGGAAGGAAAGGAAATAAGGAAGGGAGAGAGAGTGATAGGTTTTCAAAGACACAGATACAAAGTCTAGCATGGTTGTAGAGATAGGCGTGTACAAATTAACACAGGCAGTGTGGAAACATATCGGACAGACAGAGACATAGGTGGAGTCAGAGAAAAGATACAAACCCACACAGAGAAATAAACATACACAAATACAGAGACACACTTGGCAGTTTAAACATTAAAAAACACCAAGACCCTGAAACTAGAAATGACAGAGGTGTTTCAGAGTTACTGAGACAGAATGCAAGTTCGTCAGTGACCTTAGCATCTGTGCCCCATGTGCATGGATATTCAGTGGAAGAAGCATTGGACAGACTGTACGATTCAGCACGATCTCTGATAATACCTAAACAATGGAGCTTATGTTAAATCACTAGACTGAACTGCATGTAGGATTCGAGGAAGAAGCCCAGTCAGCCATGTTCGCTCGGTGGGGTTGACAATATGGCTGAGCCACCAGCCCATGGCATGTCCATCCACTGTGGACAGTTGCTGGTTTGCTGCCTGCCTTGGGAAAAGCTCTTCCTGTACCACCATTTTAAAACAGCCTAGCTCCAAAACTAGCCCTGGCATTGACTTACAGTCTTTTCCTTATCATTTATCTCCTAGAAAAATTATTGCAAGATCCTTTCCTCAACTTTTTCCTATGCATTAAATTTGGGGCAAGACGTTTTCACATGACCTGATTACAGGCAAGTGCCCAGACATTTCCCAATCTGAGTAGCCCTGAGTGCAGACACCAATCTGCTTCTCCACTCAGACTCTTTACATTATTAACCTTATGCAAAGTATGCTGAAAAGGCCACAGAAAGTAAAAGGGCCCTGGGCTCCAGAAACAGTCTGCAGTTGCAATCATTGGGGAGACTAGATCCTCATGATGGTTTACATGAGCACAAAATGCATTTCTAATGCTGTTAGCTACATACATTATTGAACTAAAGATGTAAACATCAACAACAGTGTCCATATCCTGGGTTATCATGTGACAGAGAGTCCATGCGTCGATCCCCCTGCAATCTTAAATTCCACAAATCCACCCCCTTTCCCCTGACTTCTGTATGTCTGTGTTTTCCCTTAGTCACCTATGACAGAAAAAAAGAGGTGTATCCTGAACGCCTTCCCACATGCCTCTGTAACCTTTTCCACAGTCCCTCCATAAACCTTACATGCCCATTTCTTCTCACATTGATGGGACCCCTCGTACTGAGAGACTGATTGTCCCAGAAAAGGATTATGCATTCACCTTTAAAAAGAGAACATGTGAGAAAGTGAACTTTAAGATTTGCATCATCTTGTGCTATCTTAGTGTGTCTGATGATGCCCAAAATGAAGGATTTTGGAGGTACCTTATCCCAGCAAACTGGGCCCTGGATATCTTAGTGCCCATTAACCCCTTTCCTTGAAATACCTCTGCTTCCATAAGAAGTAGCCTATCTTCTCTTTCTTTTACCTCCCCAACTCTGTCTTGTAGGAAGAATACCAAAACATTCCACACTCATTCACTCTACAACTTTAGAGGCCCAGCTCCAACATAGACTGGTCATTTCCATGAAGAGAATGAAACATATGGATTGACCTATTCATTATGACACCTGAATCCAGGGGATGAACACACACACACACACACACACACACACACACACACACACACACAGAGTCACATATCTTTAATAGTGTTTATTTTTCATTCCATACAATCCAAGTTTATCCCCTTTTCCTGTCTGCATTTTTTGTGACTGGGTCTGTTTTTCCTTTAGTTCCTGTGCATAAGACCATGCTGAGTACTGAAATCCTGCATACCATAGTAACTTATTAGGAGTTGTGCTGTTTTAGTTAAAGTCTGATGCTCCATCACATTCAACTCAAAATCTGGATGTCCCCTAGAGAAAAACAACCATATGTCAAAATGCACTTCTTCTGAGCCATACTTTAAAATGTTTTAATTTTAGGGCCTGCCTAGAAAAGACTATCCCTTCCCCATTTGTGATCTCTTAAACTTCCTCCTACCATGTGTTACAAACTGTTATCTGCAATATCTGCCACATTCCCAGTATTCTCTGTGATGGGAGTCAGCTAACAAGATGCATTGTACACTAAAAGCAGACAGAAATATGTTGAGGCAATAGCTTAAGAAAATCCATTAATCTAAACAGTCTTGTGGTTTGCGGCAAGGATGACAAGGAGGCACATTCAGGGAGCCCAATCTTAAGGGGTTGGTAGGATGACTGCCAGTGGGGTTGATGGCCACGGAATCAAGTGCCACACATTGAAGTTAATTATTCAGCTTTACTTCTCAGTGAGTCTGGACATGTACTATGCTTCCCCGGGCTTTAGACTCCACAGCTATAACCTGCTTTGCAGTCCAGTGTCTAATGTGGCTTTTTCAGCCCAATGGCCTGAATGTTCTGGATTTTGTCACTCTCTGTCTTCCTATCAAGGAATTTCTACTTGTATGAAGGGAGCCTCAACTTCTACATTTCTGAAATGAGCCCCCAGGCTCCCTAAATAGGGAGGTGTGTCAGACCCCTCATAGTGGCAATCAAACAGCTCCAATTACAACTGAATGGCTCACCTGAAATCTCTCTTCCCTCTTCAGATGGCTTTATCCTTATGTAGTATTGCAGGGGATTGCACCACAGTTCCTTACATAGGATCTATCAGGGGAATCAATAGGGAAAGGCCTCATCAGGGCTCAGAATGGTGACCCAAGCAACTGGGAACACACCGGGGTCATCCTGATGTTTCCCAGCGAGGACCCACCTCAGCAATCCTATTAGATCCTGTGAAGTTGTGGTCAGAAAACCAGTTGAATAAGTTAAGGCCGCTGTTGTAGTGTCTGTGGCCACAGGCCTCCACTTCATAATCCTCATACCACTGAATTGGAGTGGAATGAGAAGCCCTGTATTTTACAAAGACATGATTTTGTGGGAAGGGGGCTGGATCACATTGGCAATGATCCACCCACCATCTTCCTTCCACTACCTATCTTGGGAGCCACCTGTACCTGTGACGTTCACGAGATATTCCTCGGTAATCACTTTATTCTGGAAGTAGGGGGCGTCAGAAAGAACAACATGATCTTGCAGAGATGAACAGGATGCTTCACTTCTTCCACCTGTCAGGACAATGTGGAGGAAGCTTAAATACCTTTTTGGGTGAGGTGCCCACTGTTGCTTACAGGAATGAATTATTTCCCTTGCCCTTCCCACTCTACTCTCTAACCTCAGTCTTCCCGGCCTCAACTACAAGTTGATCATGTAGCTCAGCCTGTCTTCATCTTAGTCAGTGATCAGTGATGACATCTGGGGGTGGTTCGCAATCTGACTTAGGTCAAAGAGACTTTAGATGTGATGGGAGGTAAAGCTAGAAGCAACAGGGAAGAAGGCCTAAGAGTACCCAGAGGCGGAGGTAGGAGGTAGGGGATTTCTCAGATTTGCTTCCACATATGACCTCCGTTTCTCCTCTCCCTCCCCCTGAATTAAGTCCTGCTGGGTTCACGGAGGGTGTGTAATTCTGAGGCTAACTGCATTGACATGGAGAGGGGCGATTTGCAGAGAGGTGCTGGTGTCTGAGGAGTGGTAGAATCTGCTTATACCTGAAGACGCCCAGTCCCAGATTGGATTGGCAAGGGGGAGCAATCACATTTCCTTAAAAATAGCTTGATTCACAGAAAAACCTATTCTGGTCTGAACTCGCTTCTGCTCTTCAAAAAGATGCCGCAAATATCTGCTGCTAGGCATCACGAAGGGTTTCATTGCCACATGCAGGAAAACAGTACCCACGTCTGCTCTGGCTTTCCATGGTCACATTTGTCCATGGCAACTCACCGTTGGTCCCCAAATAGTCACGTCGACACAGAGCTGCCTGTATGTTACTTACACTTCCCCAAGAGCACCTCTCAACTAGAAAGGCAGAAGAAACACTGAAAAGGAATCACCATTGGCCCAGAAGCCAGGGATGCTCTGAATGATGTCGCCTCTCCGGCCCAGGTGGGACTTGCACCTCTCCTCCATCTTTTCCCTCTGCTGAGAAAACGCCTTCTTAGCTCGGGCATTAACCGGCTCCAGCTCCACCTGAACAGCCAGCAGCTCCTCCAGTGTAGATTCTGGAGTCATAGGCCCAGGGCCAGGCTGTGCCTACTGGTCCTCCTCCTACCACTCCACGTCGGCCTCCTCCTGGGCCACCACCTTCACCTCCGCCATTATGTCATCCGCCACCTGCACCACCTCCTCCTCCAAGGCAGCCTCCTCGCTCAGCGCCCCGGGCGCCCCCTCCTGTAGAGCCTCCATCCTGAAGACGGTACCCTTCTTCGAACTCCCACAGACCAACACCTATGCTGCCCGACCCACGCGACAAGAACCCTGCAGCTACCTTTATTGAACCCCTTGGGTCAGCAGGCCCTCAGGGGGCATGCGCCGGGCTTCCAGGCGCCCCCTAACAGATTGCATGCAAAGGGCACCGGGAGCCACTCCAAGACTGCCTGTCTCCGCAGCACGGCCAATCAGTGCCAGGGCGGTGGGTGTCTCCCTGGGTGGCCTCACTCGAGGCTGGCCTGCAGTCCCAGTCTCCCGGGGTAAGCCTCCTCCGAGAAGCTCTCAGAGCTTGTGCCAGGTAGCGCTGCATCCAGGCACATGCGGGCTGAGTGGCCTTTGGAATTGTGGGCATGGAAGCCATGTGCCCTAAATGACATCCTGGGCGTGGCAAGCCATTGACCCACAGGGAACACATGAAACCTCTCACTTCATTAGGCAGGCCAGGTAGATAGTATGGAATAGTGCACATCCAGAGAACTCTCTCTGGCTGCTGGGGCAAGGGCAGGGGGAGTGGCCGGAGGAAAGTGGGTCAGGGCGGGCGCGTGGGAGGAAAGTTGCCTGCTTGTGCTGAGGTTGAATTCGTCTGCTCCAGAGGCCAGAACCCGGGCAAACACTCTCGCAGGTCTAGGCAAATACAGGCTCCGCATACAATGCTTCCTCCCTGAGGATGCTGTATTCCAAGAAGCATTCCAAAGGGCCTCTCATCCTATGCCCTGGGCATACCAGAGGCCAGCCAGCAGGGTTGGCCATAGACGGCCTGCGTGCACGCTATTGTGCACTGCCTTGCCAACCCATAGGCTCCTGCAAGTGCAGCAGCGGCTGTGGTGCCTGTTGGTGGGGCTCTACAAGCCCAGGGCCTCTGCCTCCAGCTCCTGATCTCCTGTGTGGAGTTGACACTGCTGGGGACCTGAGTCCCAGGGTGAGTGAGGCGATCTGCGGGGGCAAGCAGGGGCTCATCAGGAAACCTGGGTCCACATGGGTGTGGGAATATGTTCTTAGCAGCTTGAGGCCTGTGGGTCTTTTGGGGAGCGGGCCTCCTGGGGAACGGCCCCCAGGGCCTAGGGGTGCTGAGGATGGGCTGGGCTGCACAGGCCGGGGTCTGTGGGAGCATCCAGGAGGGCACCATGTTCAGGCTGGAGGCTCTGCTGGACAGGACAGACGGGGCACAGAGCAAGGAAGTAGCCTTGGAAGAGGAGGCGGTGCTGACGGTGGAAGTCATAATGATTGATGTGGAGGTGGTGGTTGAGGAGGAGACCGACATGGAGTGGCAGAAGATAGACGAGTGGGCACAGCCTGGCCCTGGACCCAGCACAACTGGGCCGTCAATGGACTCACTGGAGGTCCATCACTTGGAGCTGGGCTCCTTGAATACCCTATGCCACAGGGCATCTCCAGCTTCTGGGCCAGAGCCATATCCTTGAGGCTGCCCCTTTGGGATGGCTGGCAGCTGCGGATGGGCATCAGGCTTCAGGGGGGGAATGGGGGCTGAGTCGGGGGAGAAACCAGGAGGGAGGCACATGGGGTCAGCCAGGAGGCAGGGGATAGGGGACAGGGTGGGAGCTGAGGCCAGGTTCCTGCAGATATGAGGCCAGCTTGCTTGTGGGAACCCTGGGACCGCATAGTAAGGACGGGGAGCCAGGCACAGCACTCACAAGGGAGAATCACGGTGCCAAGGTCCCTTCAGGCACAGCACAAAGTTGAAGGGCAAGTTTCCCTGGGAAATTCCCTGGAGGATGAGGAGTCTGCATGCCATTGCCAGCCATTGAACCACCCCTGCTCTCAGTGCCTGTTTCCAACAGCCTCACCCCAGAAACAAGGTGCTTAAGACGGCTTCGCGGTGCATGGGGCTGCTGACCTCCACAAGGCAGGCACCAGCTACCCAGATACACTTTCTTCCCCTTGAGGTGCTGCACCCAAAGGGGTGTAGGCCCTGAGCATATATAACCTCCTTTGCACCCATGCAATTCCCATGGGAAGCACCAGGCAAAACCCTACAGACCCTTCTATCTACAAGGCTTCCCTTAAGTGGACAGAACCACCCCTCAGGGAGACCAGGATAAGAGGACACCACACACCTGGACATCTGCAGAGCGTGTCCAGCACCCAGCACACAAGGGCCTCCTGCAGCTCATGAACCCAGAGGAATCAGCTGCCTCACACCACACTGCCCCCCGCCCCTTCAGCTGCAACCACCTGTCCACTTTTTCTGCCTCCTGTCTCTGGTCAGCCCAGGACATCTTGGCCGGGGTCCACCCCCCGAAAAAACCACCACAGTTGTGGCATTGCCTCCTTGCCAGACAGAGACAGAGGACCAAAAAAGGACGATGGCAGGCCAAATGTCTGGGAGATAACCCTGCTCCACATTCTCTGTGCTCTTTCAAAGTTTCAGGGTGTCATGAGGCTTGCCCACCCAATCAACTGGAGGCTCTTTGACCAAAGGTATATTGTTTGGCACACCCAGATCCTGTGTGAGAAACCATGATGAAGTCCTGTTTTGGTACATGATGGATTTTTAAGTCAGGCTGGGGAGCTTGGGTCTGTGGGAGGGGTCTGGTATCTGAAGCAGTTTGAGGTCCCCTGGGGCCCGGGGATGTCTCAGTGGCAGAGCTACGAAGGGGAAACTCATGCTTCACTCCAGCTAGCAGGCCACCTCAGCCCAGCTAGATGAAATGGTGCCATTGAGTCTGTCTACTTTATCCTTCTTGGTCAGGCAGGTGAGGGAACTCAGCCATCCCAGTTACTGGCAGCAGGATGAAGATTTCCTTTCGTCACAACCTTTACTTTCATAATGAAGTGATAATTAAGGAGTACTACCATTGGTATCCTCGGTAAGGAGTACCTCCCAGCATGGTAGGGGAGCTGGTGTGTGAGAGGGTCAGCCTGGCATGAACCTTCCTGACTCCTCTCCCTCCAGGGTACAGGGTGTCTCATTCCACTGCAGTCCAGTGGTTCTGGGATCATGAGGGTCAAGCCTCCAGCTGCAGGCAGAACATCACCTACCTGAGCTTGTTCAGCTGTTTGGCTGAACATGAGTGCCTGGGTTTTCGCAGGATTGCTGAGGTGGGAGTCGCGGTGAGGGCTGCGGTGGGGCATCATGGGAAAGGACCTCACTGGTCATTCCTTGGCTTCTGGGGAATTGGCTTTGAGCCATGACCTGACCTTTCCTGGACGACCTTCTGCAGTCCCCCAGATCATCAGCCAGGGCCTATGTCTCAATCCGTTGCAGTACTGCCCCAGGGAGAGAGGGATGGTATTAGAGAGGGAAACAGAGAGGAGGGCAGGTGAGCAGCCTAGGGCTAGGATCTGAGAGTCCTTTGAGTCCTGGATCTGTGCCCCACACAGAGAATCCAAAGATCATGGAGGAGACTGCAGTGAGCAATCCCAGGCCATTTATGGTTTGAGAGAGAAAGGCCCATTAGGGAACTGCAACACCCACATTTCAGGATTGGGGAACCCTAATCCACCTACAATGCATATGTGGCTAAGGTCAGTGGGTGAGAAGCAAGGCTTAAGGGATAGCTGTCTTATCATCACTTGCCAGCTCCTTCCCCTGCCCTGAGGCTTGCTACCACCTGGGTCTCAGATTGAGCTCAACCAGGGTGCTCTCTCTCTCCACACAGATGTCCACAGGAGGCCCGTCTAGGTCTACATCCTTTCAGAATGTTTCTCCCAGGCCTGTCATGTTGTGTTTTGATGAAGCCGGGCTCCCCTGACATGCATTCTCATCTCTGCCATCCTCATCCCCACTGCCCTGCCTTCCCAGATGAGACAGGCCACTGCACAGGGAATCTGGAGGACCACACTAAGCTCCAGTGTGAGGAAATGTTCTATTTTCTTCATGCACATGTATTTTAGAGTTTCCTCCAGGGGAGGAAATGTGAAGAGATTGCAAAATGGCTGGGGACCTTCAGTGTGTGTCCAGGGAGGGAACCTGGCTGGGAATTAAGGCCCACCTGAGTAATGGTATGGACATCCAGTGTCAGTTATCTTGATGAAGACCTGCTTTCTTACATCACCTACTATTAGTATAAAAGTTAATTCCTTAGAATATTGAAAAAACAAATCTGTGTATGAGGAAATATAATTTGTTCATAATTGTATGGAAAAAACTGCTGACTGATCCATTTTCCATTACAATTCTTATGTGAGACTTGAAGAGTTTATCAAGTTTTAAAAAGCATTTTTATTGTTCTACTCCTGGCAATTTTTATGATCATTTTTTCAATACAGGGACATAGATTCTAGAAAGTTTTTGAGGGACTTTCAGCTTCTTTAGAGTACTTACTTGTAAATTTTGATTTTTTTTCCTTGTGGTTCTTTTCAATTTACTATTTATATTTTATATGTGAGGTTTTAAATTTGTTTTCTTATTTGCCCCTTCTGGAACTTTTAAAGGATTTTTTTTTTCTGTTAGATATGTGCATTTGGCTGTGAGTACTTTCTCTACTACAGATTTTTTTTGTTGCTGTTTGTTAGTTTTTGGGGTGTGTGATTGTTTGTTTACTGGTTTTGAGATGCAATCTTGCTCTGTCACCCAGGCTGACATGAAATGGCACGATCTTAGCTCACTGCCACCTCTATCTTCGAGCTTCAAGCAATTCCCCTGCCTCAGACTTCCGAGGAACTGGGAATACAGGCACATGCCACCATGTCCAGCTAATTTTTGTATTTTTAATTGAGACTAGGTTTCACTGTATTTGCCCAGCTCATCTCACACTCCTGACCTCAACTGGTCTGCTCTCATTGGCCTCCCAGAATGCTGGGATTACAGGTATGAGCCACCACAGCCGGCCTCATTTGTTTGTTTATGTATTTTAATCATTGTTCTATTTTCTTCATGTACACATCTTTTAGAATTATTGAAATAAAATGTTTTATTTGCTTACTCAATACTTTAGTAGGTTTTTAAAACTAATTTTTCATTCACTAAATACGGTATTGTGTATAAGTTAAACTTGCATAGTATTGTCATTCTATCTTTTACTCAAGAACTCTGATACTGTTTTTCTCCCATCTGAGGAGAACATGCACATAGTTATAAAAAATTGTGTGAATGGGTAAGTATGAAAATATAATTTGAAAGAATAGTAAAGTTCACAAATACAATTTCACATTTGTATTTTGCATCATTTTGAAAATTTTAGTTGCTGACACATGAAATTCTATAATCACCTTCATGTTAAATGTATACTTTTGAATCAATTTCAACAATGAGAAAAATCCAAGGCCAAACGTTAGTTCAGGAAGTAGAAAGCAGTTGTTCTGTAGAAAAAAACATATTTATTGAAGGTATATTTAGAGAGATTTTAGAAGGCTTAAGTCAATATTTTTGTTTTTGTTGCTCTGGTGTTTTATCATACTGTGACCAGACTGTAGCATCAGTAGTTATAGTTACTAGGCTACCAAAGTCTCAGGGCTGCAGTAATTATTGAGGAAAGTGGCAGTGTGGTTGGCTGTTTAAGGAGACTATAGGACTTAGGAGTTTCCACCCAAAGCACAATGGCCTGGTTTGGTGGGTGGCCTTCTTTTGCTGAAGTAGATAAAATCCAGGAGAAGTGTGGACTCATTGTAGTAGGTAGGGCTTTGAGACTGGTGAAGCCTATTTGTCTCCAACTGCCATTGCCAGTATTGGTCTGCAGATAATGTCACTTCCTGGACACACTGACTCCTGTAAATTAAAATATATAATTTGGATTTAAATCCCTGTTCCAACTTCTTAAACTTAGATCTAATAAGTGTGTAATAAAATATGTATACAGAACAAAGGGAGACATCAGATAAGTACATAAGTAAAGCATCCTGATCAAATACCTTCAAAAATATTACTACAAAAATCACTGAAGGTTAAACCTTAAAAAGTTATTTTAATTGGGGAAGTAGAAAAAGGTTGGACTTGTTTAAAACTCTGAGGTGTAAAGATACTATTATTAGAATATGGAAATTATATAAAATATCTGATTTGTTTGAAGAGCAGCATACTAGCTATTTAGTATGACTAGAGATTAATTACCCATGTAAGAAAACTCAGAGATTAACAACAATTTTTTTCAGAGATTTTGTTCTGTAGTTAAAGACTTTTAAAATGGTTTCTTACTGATCAGTGATTCACGTATATTTATCATTTAGTCATACGCTGTATACCCTTTTATATAGGGATGAAGTTATAGTTTCTATCATGTAGATAGAAAAACATGTGACTGTGTACCACATTTGCATTAGAGTCTTTGGCCTGAGTAATGAAGCAAACAATGGAACTATGTCAGGTTACAGGTGGGCACAGCTGGAAGCTTCCATCACTTGCATCTTTAACATTTCTGGATTCTCATCAGTCTCTCCTAGAAAGACAAATGGACTATAACTATCCTAAAGAACATATGTTACATTTAAACACCAAGTATTGAGATAAGATCATGATGTCTTATCAATGCCTCATCATTACTTTAAATTTATATGTATAACTTATACAAAGAAATTCAGTTTATCACCATTAACATTTTACACGACACATTTATCTATTTCATTCTCTTTCTAGTGACTTTTTTTTGAGATGGATTTTCACTCTGTCACTCAGTCTGGAATGCAGTGGCCTGATCTCAGCTCACTGCAACCTCTGCCTCTTGGGTTCAAGCAATTCTCCTGCCTCAGCCTCCTGAGTAGCTGGGATTACAGGCACACACCACCACTCCTGGTTAATTTTGTATTTTTAGTAGAGATGGGGTTTCCCTATGTTGGTCAGACTGTTCTCAAACTTCTGACTTCAGGTGATTCACCAGCCTCAGCCTCCCAAAGTGCTGGGATTACAGGCGTTAGCCACCATGCCTGGCCCCTCTTTTTTTTGAGGCAAGTTCTTGCTTGGTCACCCAGACTGGAGTGCATTGGCACAATCTTCACACACTGTAGCCTCAACCTCCCAGGCTCAAGCTATTTTCCTGTCTCAGCCTCCCATATATCTGGGACTACATGTGTGCAACACCACACCAGGCTATTTGTTGTTGTTGTTTAGTCATGAAATCTTGCTATATTGCCAAGTGGGTATCACATTCCTGGGCCCAAAGGGTTCTCCTAGTTCAAGCTCCCAAAGTGCTGGAAGTACAGGAGTGAGCCACTGAGGACAGCATCACCACTCTTTAATCATTTTTTAAATGCCACTCTTCAAAATTAACAAGTAAAGTTTTACTTATGAAATTCCAAATTCCAAGTCAAGTTCAGCCTCACTTTTATAAAGAGGTAAAAATACAACAAAACAAAAAAACCTTCTTTTTCTTTTGTTTTGAAGTTAGCAAACAGTTAGAAAGCAACTCATCTCTACTTTGGATTACAAAATTGACTGTACAGAGAAATATCCTCATCTAATTGTTTTCAGATCAAAAATCCCGTGAAGTTATCATCAGAACCATCATCTTATGAAACAAAAACAAATCTCCTACTGGGTCTTTTATGTAGATTAAATATGTTATAATTAGTCATGTATACAATTGTGATTACAGTTATTCCTTAAACCATAATATTAAAAATATGAACCTCATTTTTTTTTAACTGCTACCCCAATAAGAAAACTAACTGCTGATGTGGTATAATAATTTGTGGCCCAGAGAGCCAGCATTCTGAATTATTCAGGTTCTTCACATACCCTAAGGGTACTAAGAGCCGAATGGTAGTCTGGACATCTTGGAGGAGTAGCAATGTCAGGTCATTTCTTGCTGCCCCTCTCACCAGCCAGGGGTTCTACTGCAACTCATGCAGTAGAATGGTAGACAACTTCACAACTCTCAGTGGTACCACAGGGTGCGTCAGGCCAATAATCACAGCAGTGTCTTCAGGATTCCTGTGTACATAGGCAAAGGTTTATTATAGTACATTCATTAGAAAACCTGAACCTTAAACCTACATCAGGCTTTCCAGCATATTTCTTTAGTCATGATACACAAGGTCCCTAGCTCATCTTCAGAGAAATCAGAAATCTATGAATAAAGAGTCCACAGACAACGGGATTGTAGAGGAATTAACTAACAGCGGTAATAATAAGCCAAACACAGTGAGACAATTTCTTATTAGTCTAAAACAAAAATGTTATCTGTATAAGGGAGATAGTCATGGATTACAGAAGCGAATTTGGACAGAGAAACCTTCAGCAATGTAATTATGGGATAATGCATCACAGGGTAAGGGAAGAGGCACTCACAAGTGTACATGTTCCTGACACAGTGGGCAGCTGTGAGAACCCACAAGCTGCTAACTATGGAACCACTGCAGATCTGTCTGCCACAGCTGATGATCCCAGCCTGCCATGGCATGGCATATCACAGAGAAATCTGATCTGCTAAATCTGAGGAGAAAAATCAGCTAACTGTGTTAATTTGAACAGAATTGCCATCTGTAGACCATTTTTTTAAGTTTTAAATCACTCCTATTTGTGCTAACCAAGTCAGCATTGTTAAATATGACTAGCAAAGACAAACTTCTACCTCTACTGTGTTTATGCATTTTTCTTGAAAAAAAGTGTTCCTCTTAATACCTTTTGAAGTTCATAGTTTCTTTTTGTTCTAGCTTAAGTTGCTTTAATCAAAATATTGGGAGGCATTCCAGCTTTCTCCCCCATTGAAACATTTATATAGCTATTATTTTAGCTCCTTAGAAGTCATTGAAGTAGATAGGCAACAAAAAATACAATGATTTGAAGATATTAGGTAAATAATGTAAAATTTGGAGATAAGGCACCTGTCTCTAAATTGGAGGGGCTTATCTTCCTAAACTTATAATCTTAGTGAGATATCAAACAAATAGTTTAAATAGAAAATTCAAATTTGAGGTTCAGGAAAGAGCTCATACTTTTAAAATTATTTTAGAGTTCCTCAGAAAACTGAGTTGAAGCAATGTTCATTAATATATACAGAGAGATAAAAATGATGAAGATAACCTGTCTATAGAAGAGGTAAGGAAATATAGATAAAATTAGAAGCATAACTAAGATATTAAGTTTAGTTGTATTTGAATTAGTCTTTGGAGGATGTGAGCAAATAATTATGGCCTCCTTTATATTCTAAATGTAGCTATGGCAATAGGTGGTAGCTACAAAAATAGCTGTGGTTAAGTGCACATTTAATAGATGAGACCAAAAGAGATCCCTCAATTTTCAAGGAAATAAGTGGAAGTACAGCAATATGAAACAACCATTGCTAATATCGTAATAGGTTTTCTGATAGCCAAGGGAAGGGGGAAACTGATAATCTCAATGTAATGCAGTCTAATACACCAGCACCTAAAACTCATTACTTACCAACTACTATGCTGTTTCCAAACATCATAATATATTTAACTTAAAATATACTTAATTTAAAATAACTCTATTACAAATATAAGGTACTGTGTGGTAGTAAAGAAATGTTTTTGTGTTAGGAGAATGTGTCTTAATGTTAGCCCTATTCATCTTCTGCCACGGGAACTTGATCAATCCATTCTACATAACTAGTGTCAGAATACGCATTTAAGATAACTATAATAATCATGTTACATAATCTACATCATAGAGTAATCTATAGGGATACTATGGAAATTGAATCATATATCAAGTATGAAATGCCTTTGTAAGCCATAAGGAAAATAATTTCTATGATTTGGTAGATAAAAAACTCACGCATTTCTCAGGAAGAGCTTTCTCTCCCCTCTCCTTCCCTCTATTCTTTTCTATTTCCATTCTCTTCTTCCTTTACTTCTCCTACCAAGTTTTTGAGACTTACTCTGAGGCTGTGGCAGAGAGATGTAGTGTGGCCGAATGGAATTGGGAGTGGAGGTAAAAGCTGAGGCATTTGTAGAGGTAGAGACTGAAAGGGACATGGAAGCAGAGGCAGTCACGGGCCCTTGGTGGTGCCAGGATGCATGGCTAGGCCATGTCACTTCCTGGAGCCAGAAAAGGAAAGGGTGCACTTGGCTGAAGACATAGGGCTTTGTGCAATGCTCCTCAAAGTGACTCAAGATTCCCACTTGCACCCAAGTGTCTTTTTGCTATAGATGGCACAACAAAGGTGCTCCCAGGTCACTCTGCAAGAAACAAGAGACAAGATATAATCAGTATTTTGAAGGAGGGCCAGAAGTAACTTTTGGTGTTCAAGATATTCTTTTTCTCCCTGGCATTCACATTCCATGAATTTGTTACCTTACAGCCAGGCTCCCACATAGCTTTCTTGACCTCCATAAAAAAAGTGAGTTCACTCAGCTTGGGGCCAAATTGGGCACAAGAGCTGACTAGTAGTATGCTCAGTTGCCTTTTTTTTTTTTTTTTTTTTTTTTTGCAGAATTCCAGGACTTCCTGATGGAAAACAGAGAAGAAGCCGGGCGCGGTATCTCACGCCTTGTAATCCCAGCACTTTGGAAGGCTGAGGCGGGCGGATCACGAGGTCAGGAGATCGAGACCATCCTGACTAACACGGTGAAACCCCGTCTCTACTAAAAATACAAAAAAAATTAGCCGGGCGTGGTGGCGGGCGCCTGTAGTCCCAGCTACTGGAGAGGCTGAGGCAGGAGAATGGTGTGAACCCGGCAGGTGGAGCTTGTAGTGAGCGGAGGGCGGAGGTTGCGCCACCCCACTCACACCTGCACGACAGAGCGACAAAACAAAAACAAAAACAAAAACAACAAAAAAAAAACAAAAACAAAAGAAGTGTTTGTGTTTGTTTTCAAATCAAATTTAGCCTAGATTAGAGGAAGAAGTATGGTGAAGAGAAAGACAATTTTTTTATTATTCAAGAGAGGATACTATTCTCTTTCCAAATATGCTTCTCTTCCATCCCAGTGTCTTCTTCTTTACTCCCCCCTCATAAGGGACCAAATAGGTAGCCAACAGTCATATAGTTGTATAAATTTCTCCTGTTCGAGACTTTCCTAAGGGCATAGAGGAAGGACCAGGGTTTGAAAATGTAGTGGCTGCTTCAGGAAGATCAACCCAGGTCCTAGAGGTGCCTTCGGACCTAGGTAGGGTATGACATGTTCAATGCTGACAGTCTGAGCTTGGGCAGAATCTAGAAGATGATTATGCCCCAGTTGGACCAGGGACAGGGCTCCTGAAATTTTTCTGGGGAACCAAAATCAGGGAAAATTCTATTATTTCCACATTTCAATTTGAATAAAACCTGGAGGTGAATCAGATGAAGACCAGGTAAGCACTAAAGTACAAATACTACTTTAGAAACTATTTTCGAGGATCATTTGAGACCAGGTGGGCAACATGGTAAGACTTTATTTCTGTGGAAAATAATAAAAAAGTTAGCCAGATGCAGTGATGCATGCCTGTGGTCCCATGTACTCAGGAGGCAGAGGTGGAAGAATCCCTTATCTTGGTAGTTTGAGGCTACTGTGAATCATGCCACTGCACTCCAGCTTGGGCAAAAGAGCAAGACCCTGTCTCTATCACTCTCTCTCTGTCTCTCTCTCACACACAGACACACAGACACACATACACACACACACAAAGAGAAAGATATTCATTAACCATATCAATGTTGTGATTGCTCTATAATGATATCTTAATCTTGAAATGAATTATTTAGACTTATGTAAAATTGGCACATCTAACTGTGGTAATGATCCACTGTTCATTTAGTATGGAGCCAGCACAGAAATGGGAGAAAGACAGTTGAAACTGGCACATCTAGCTGTGGTAAGGATCCACTGTTCATTTAGTATGGAGCCACCATAGAAATGGAGAAAGACAGCTGCACAGTAACTATCCAACAGAATTCACCAATTTCTGACTCCCAGCCGTTGGGAAACATGAGGACATGGCCAGGGCATAATCCACACTCTGCAGAAGGAATAAACCTGTGGAATAGAGTGAGATTAGTATTACTACTCTCCCATTTCTGAAATCTAATTTTAGGTTTTTAGAAATATGCTTGGAAATTCAGTATCTTCAATTCTGAGAAAATACATGGAAATATACATCATCCTACAATTTTAGATATACTACAGTTGTTATCTACATACTTACCCTTCAAATAATATATATATGTATATATGCAGTTATGATATATATATATATCTTATTATTTATATCCAAGATAATATACTATTATCCAATAGTGTGTGTATATATTCATATACGTCAAGTGGAATAATAAACTATTTCTAAGAAGTAAGACTATCTTTAAAATACTGTTCTCTGAATAGAATTGTGTTTATAAAACATAGCTCATAAATCCTATTTGGCAAAAATAAGATATTCTTCAATATTTAGACATCTCTGCTGATTCATACAATAACCTAAATTTCAGTCTTCCGAACTTCTGAGAACATAACCTCTGATGTTACAAATTCTGGTTTTAGGGTTCAACAAGAGTCTTCGTAGCAAGTATATTAACTCAAACATATGACTAGAGTAAAGGTGCCTGTGGTTTCATGAGAAATAACAGCTGTCTCGAAGAGCCAGAAAGCCTGGAAACTTTCTTTCCAGATCACAGATAGTTGACACTCAATCAGGGAAACGTTGAGTTCTGCATGCCTAAGAGGTTGTTGTCCAGGCTTGGGTCCAGATTGAGATCCAGGCATCAGGAGAGGTTGTTTTGTTAAAAGTGTGGCTGGAGCAGCATGCAAGGATGAAAAAGAAGGAGAAAGAATGGACTCTTCAGTAAATGTTGAGGAAGATATTTTCTGAAGAGAATTAGCAGAAGAGGCTATGGATAGGACAATAGAAGAGGAGACCAGAGGAGAGGAGAAAAAAATGGAGCAAGGTGGGAAAATGCAGAATGAAGGGAATGTACAAAAATAAAAGACTGAACAAGAAGGGCACAGTGTTCACGGAGATTGAAGTGAACAAGAAAGAAAAAGGAGAAAGAAAAAGAGATAAGAGAGGTACATGGGACATCAGGGTTTTCTTTTATCTGGATAATTTTTAATTTCCTGCCATAGTGCTGGTAAACAACTCTTCCAGGAAGCCAAATGCTTGTAAGCTGGCTTGGGTGGACAGAATTGATTTTTATCTTGGCTTTCTGTGGCAGTTATCTCAGTTAACAAAACTATAATATACTAATCTGGGAAAGGCACAGTTTTTACTGGCAAAAAAGGGTACATGTTTGGACAATGAGCCAAAATGACTGATTAATAGTGTTTCTCCATTAGGCTCAATTTCAGGAGGAGAAAATGATGCAATTATATCAGCCTTATAGTGGGTTCTGGGACTTAGTATTTCTGTTTCAGGCTGGATGCAGGTTCTCACTTTGCCAGCTTCAAAAACAGCAAAGGATTCAATAATATCAGCTTCAGACTGGATCCAGTGTGTGTCTGCTTTGGTTACAGGCAGTATCCAAGATATGAGTGTTCTTCCTGTAAGCAAGGTCCATCTTTTTACTACTGGAGATAGAACCTTGGGCCAGAAACTTAGTAGGAAGGTTTCAGACTGCATAAAAGGGTGAATTATGTCAACTTCTGTCTGCATCCAGGGACTGACTATTTGAGATTTTGAATAAGCTCATGATCTGCCTTTATTTATTGTAATGTAAAACAAAGATCTGACTACATCAGTTTTCTGCTTGATCCAGGATCTCACTGCTTGGGTTTCAGGTGGGTCCAGGTTTGAAATGTAGCAGCTCTTTGCTGAGTCCAGGGCCAAAATATACCAACTTCAGTCTGGGGCCAGGGAGAGAGTGGCTGATTTTCAGGATGAATCCAGGGTCTAACTGTATCACATTGAGTCTGTAAGCAAGATGTGACTGTATCAATTTCACTCATGTTTCAGGGTTTTATTCCTTGGCTTACAGTCCAAGTTTGGAATACTTCAGTTTCAGGTTGGTTCCAAACTAACATCATCAAATAGGTTAAAGCATAAAAATAACAGGCCAAGAGGAAAAAGGTTTAAATCTCTGAGAAATAAATAAAACTCACAAACCTACTGGAAACCAATCTGCATATTGAGGAAAAGTTTCTGAATAAATGTTCATCTTTCCTGTACTAGCTTGTTAACTCATAAATTTGACCTTTTTTGAATTAAAGAGAGAACTGTGTCCCTATTTTAGTTTGTAACATTGTCTTCCCCTGCAAACACTTCATATAGTATCCATTCACTTCATTTCCACATCAAGATCACAGTTAGCTTCAAAGGCTGAAGAAGGACACATCATTGGGGTAGTTTGCCTTCACCCATGTCATTCAATCACACATGACCACAGACATCTGGTGAGAGTGGCATCTGTACTGTGGTTCTTAAAATGGAGTAAGCCTCAGAATCTCCCACAGGGTTTGCTAAAATGCAGACTGCCAGGCCTCACCCTCAGAGGGTTCAGCAGATCTGGAGCAGGCCCCAAGAATCTGCATTTCTAACAACTTCCCACATGATGGTGATGCTACCGGTCCTGGAGTCATACTAATTTTCAAGAACCATTCTATAAATGATTTTGGATCACTGCCATCATGTCATCTGTTTTGACAAACCACAGAGCCCTAACTTAACAGCTATTTTAATATACAGACAGCAGGAATTTTACACACATCCCGATGGCCTGCCAATCACTCAGCACGGGCACATGTTTTGGGTGCAGCCATGCATCGCTGCAGTTAAAGCCAAATGTTACAGAGCAAACTGAATGCTGGCTGCTCAGTCCTTCAGATCCTCAACTCTTGGCATTTCATATTTCACCACCATCTGGAGCCTTCACTCTACCACACATGATGGGGCACGTGACTTGCTAGGCTTACAGTTGAGGAAGGGCAGGGTCCTAAGAAATGACAGGACCTGCCCATGCTTGCTTGGCATCTTGCTCTGAGCCTTATTTCCTCTGCATCCCATATCTAGTTAGGAGCATGGACGCTGGAGAGACCAGGGGCACCATGGTGACACAGGAGTAACTGGTGGAGCTGACCTCACACCAGGTTGTCACCTCGTTCCTTACTTCCCTCAGGACTTCTAGCCCCTATGCTAACCAGCCCTGGATGCTGTGATTTTCCATCTCCTGCTTCTGACTCCTCCAGCTCTTCTGGGTACTCCATTGCTAACACACTTGCAATCAGTTATTTCCCATCCCTGTTCAGATTCAGGCATGCCCCAAACAGCCTTGCTCCCCAATTCACGCATGCTAGGAACCACTGCAGCTTCAAAGCTGAGTATAAGTGTCCTATGGGCGCATCCAACTTACTCCTAACCTCATCTTCACCTCAAAAAACAGGCAAGGGACTGCCTCAAGGCTGCAGATCTAGCAGGCACAAAGGTGTGGCAAGCACTGACTGTCTAGAGGATCCCAGTGCCCCACACTCCTCACAAGGTTGTATCCACCTCTGTCTTGCCTTGGCCTGGAGAGCCCGGTATGGCAGAGGCCCTCACAGCAATGCCAATCCTGTGTTCTTCCCAGGTGTTCAGAAATCAGTTGTCCATATCCATGGCAGGGTGCAGTGGCTCACGCCTATAATCCCAGCACTTCGAGAGGCCAAGGCAGGCAGATAACTTGAGGTCAGGAGTTTGAGACCAGCTTGGCCAACATGATGAAACCCTGTCTTTATAAAAATACAAAAATTAGCCAGGTGTGGTGGTGGGTGCCTGTAGTCCCAGCTACTCTGGAGGCTGAGGCAGAAGAATCCCTTGAACCTGGGATTGAACCTGGGAGGCAGAGTTTGCACTAAGCCGAGAATGCACCACTGCTCTTCAGCCTGGGCAACAGAGTGAGACAAGATCTCCAAAAAAAAAAAAAAAAAAAAAAGAAAAGAAAAAAGAAAAAGAAATTACATTTAACATTAGGTATATTTCCTAATGCTATCCCTCCCCCCTCCCCCCACCCCACAACAGGCCCCAGGGTGTGATGTTCCCCTTCTTGTGTCCATGTGTTCTCATTATTCAATTCCCACCTATGTGTGAGAACATGCAGTGTTTGGTTTCTTGTCCTTGCGACAGTTTGCTGAGAATGATGGTTTCCAGCTTCATCCATGTCCCTACAAAGGACATGAACTCATCATTTTTTATGGCTGCACAGTTTTCCATGGTATATATGTGCCACATTTTCTTAATCCAGTCTATCATTGTTGGACATTTGGGTTGATTGCAAGTCTTTGCTATTGTGACTAGTGCAGCAATAAACATATGTGTGCATGTGTCTTTATAGTAGCATGATTTATAATCCCTTGGGTATATACCCAGTAATGGGATGGCTGGGCCAAATGGTATTTCTAGTTCTAGATCCCTGAGGAATCACCACACTGACTTCCACAATGGTTGAACTAGTCTACAGTCCCACCTACACTGAAAAGTGTTCATATTTCTCCACATCCCTTCCAGCACCTGTTGTTTCCTGACTTTTTAATGATTGCCATTCTAACTGGTGTGAGATGGTATGACATTGTGGTTTTGATTTGCATTTCTCTGATGGCCAGTGATGATGAGCATTTTTTCATGTGTCTTTTGGCTGCATAAATGTCTTCTTTTGAGAAGTGTCTATTCATACCCTTTGCCCACTTGTTGATGGGGTTGTTTGTTTTTTTCTTGTAAATTCATCTGAGTTCATTGTAGATTCTGGGTATTAGCCCTTTGTCAGATAAGTAGATTGCAACATTTTTCTCCCATTCTATAGGTTGCCTGTTCACTCTGATGGTAGTTTCTTTTGCTGTGCAGAAGCTCTTTAGTTTAATTGGATCCCATTTGTCAATTTTGGCTTTTGTTGCCATTCCTTTTTGTGTTTTAGACATGAAGTTCTTGCCCATGCCTATGTCCTGAATGGTATTGCCTAGGTTTTCTTCTAGGTTTTTTTATGGTTTCAGGTCTAACCTTTAAATCTTTAATCCATCTTGAATTAATTTTAGTATAAGGTGTAAGGAAGGAATCCAGTTTCAGCTTCCTACATATGGCTAGCCAGTTTTCCCAGCACCATTTATTAAATAGGGAATCGTTTCCCCATTTCTTGTTTTTTTCAGGTTTGTCAAAGATCAGATGCTTGCAGATATGTGGCATTATTTCTGAGGGCTCTGTTCTATTCCATTGGTCTATATCCCTTTTTTGGTACCAGTAACATGCTGTTTTGGTTACTGTAGCCTTGTAGTATAGTTTGAAGTCAGGTAGCATGACGCTTCCAGCTTTGTTCTTTTGGCTTAGGATTGACTTGGCAATGTGGGCTCTTTTTTGGTTCCATATGAACTTTAAAGTAGCTTTTTCCAATTCTGTGAAGAAAGTCATTGGTAGCTTGACGGGGATAGCATTGAATCTATAAATTACCTTGGGTAGTATGGCCATTTTCACGATATTGATTCTTCCTACCCATGAGCATGGAATGTATTTCCATTTGTTTGTATCCTCTTTTATTTCATTGAGTAGTGGTTTATAGGTCTCCTTGAAGAGGTCCTTCACATCCCTTGTAAGTGGAATCCTAGGTATTTTATTCTCTTTGAAGCAATTGTGAATGGGAGTTCACTCCTGATTTGGCTCTCTGTCTGTTATTGGTGTATAAGAATGCTTGTGATTTTTGCACGTTGATTTTGTATCCTGAGACTTCGCTGAAGTTGACTATCAGCTTAAGGAGATTTTGGGCTGAGACAATGGGGTTTTCTAGATATACAATCATGTCATCTGCAAACAGGGATAATTTGACTTCCTCTTTTCCTAATTGAATACCCTTTATTTCTTTCTCCTGCCTGATTGCCCTGGCCAGAACTTCCAACACTATGTTGAATAGGAGTGGTGAGAGAGGGCATCCCTGTCTTGTGCCAGTTTTCAAAGGTAATGCTACCAGTATTTGCCCATTCAGTATGATATTGGCTGTGGGTTTGTCATAAATAAGTCTTATTATTTTGAGATACATCCCATCAATACCTAATTTATTGAGAGTTTTTAGCATGAAGGTTGTTGAATTTCGTCAAAGGCCTTTTCTGCATCTATTGAGATAATCATGTGGTTTTTGTCTTTGGTTCTGTTTATATGCTGGATTAAATTTGTTGATTTGCATATGTTGAACTGGCCTTGCATCGCAGGGATGAAGCCCACTTGATCATGGTGGATAAGCTTTTTGATGTGCTGCTGGATTCGGTTTGCCAGTATTTTACTGAGGATTTTTGCATCGCTGTTCATCAGGGATATTGGTCTAAAATTCTCTTTTTTTTTGTTGTGTCTCTGCCAGGCTTGGGTATCAGGATGATGCTGGCCTCATAAAGTAAGTTAGGGAGGATTCCCTCTTTTTCTATTGACTGGAATAGTTTCAGAAGGAACGGTACCAGCTCCTACTTGTACCTCTGGTAGAATTTGGCTTTGCATCCATCTGGTCCTGGACTTTTTTGGTTGGTAAGCCATTAATTATTTCCTTAATTTCAGAGCCTGTTATTGGTCTATTCAGAGATTCAGGTCTAACATGTAAATCTTTAATCCATCTTGAATTAATTTTAGTATAAGGTGTAAGGAAGGGATCCAGTTTCAGAGATTCAACTTCTTCCTGGTTTAATCTTGGGAAAGTGTATGTTTCAAGGAATTTATCCATTTCTTCCAGATTTTCTAGTTATTTGCATAGAGATGTTTATAATATTCTCTGATGGTAGTTTGTATTTCTGTGGGATTGGTGGTGATATCCCCTTTATCATTTTGTATTGCATATATTTGATTTCTTCTCTCTTTTCTTCTAAATTAGTGTTACTAGCAGTCTACCAATTTTGTTGATCTTTTCAAAAAACAAACTCCTGGATTCATTGATTTTTTGAAGGGTGTTTTGTGTCTATATTTCCTTCAATTCTGCTCTGATCTTAGTTATTTCTTGCCTTCTGCTAGCTTTTGAATGTGTTTGCTCTTGCTTCTCTAGTTCTTTTAATTGTGATGTTAGGGTGTCAATTTTAGATGTTTCCTGCTTTCTCTTGTCGGCATTTAGTGCTATCAATTTCCCTGTACACACTGCTTTGAATGTGTCCCAGACATTCTGGTATGTTGTGTGTTTGTTCTCGTCGGTTTCAAAGAACATCTTTATTTCTGTATTTGTTTCGTTATGTACCCAGTAGTCATTCAGGAACAGGTTGTTCAGTTTCCATGTAGTTGAGCGGTTTTGAGTGAGTTTCTTAATCCTGAGTTCTAGTTTGATTGCACTGTCATCTGAGAGACAGTTTGTTATAATTTCTGTTCTGTTACATATTCTGAGGAGTGTTTTACTTCCAACAATGTGGTCAGTTTTGGAATAGGTGTGGTGTGGTGCTGAAAAGAATGTATATTCTGTTGATTTGGTTTGGTTAGTTCTGCAGATGTCTATTAGGTCTGCCTGGTGCAGAGCTGAGTTCAATTCCTGGATATCCTTGTTAACTTTCTGTCTTGTTGATCTGTCTAATGTTGAGAGTGGGGTGTTAAAGTCTCCCATTATTATTGTGTGGGAGTCTAAGTTTCTTCGTAGGTCTCTAAGGACTTGCTTTATGAATCTGGGTGCTCCTGTATTGTGTGCATATATATTTAGGGTAGTTAGCTCTTCTTGTTGAATTGATCCCTTTACCATTATGTAATGGCCTTCTTTGTCTCTTTTGATCTTTGTTGGCTTAAAGTCTGTTTTATCAGAGACTAGGATTGCAACCCCTGCCTTTTTTTTATTTTCCATTTTCTTGGTAGATCTTCCTCCATCCCTTTATTTTGAGCCTATGTATATCTTTGCATGTGAGATGGGTTTCCTAAAGACAGCACACTGATGGATCTTGACTTTTTATCCAATTTGCCAGTCTGTGTCTTTTAATTGGAGCATTTAGCCCCTTTACATTTAAGGTTAATATTGTTATGTGTGAATTTGATCCTGTCATTATGATATTAGCTGGTTATTTTGCTCATTAGTTGATGCGGTTTCTTCCTAGCCATGACGGTCTCTACAATTTGGCATGTATTTGCAGTGGCTGTTACTGGTTGTTCCTTTCCATGTTTAGCGCTTCCTTCAGGAGCTCTTTTAGAGCAGGTCTGGTGGTGAGAAAATCTCTCAGCATTTGCTTTTCTGTAAAGTGTTTTATTTCTCCTTCACTTATGAAGCTTAGTTTGGCTGGATATGAAATTCTGGGTTGAAAATACTTTTCTTTAAGAATGTTGTATATTGGCCCCCACTCTCTTCTGGCTTGTAGAGTTTATGCTGAGAGATCAGCTGTTAGTCTGATGGGCTTCCCTTTGTGGGTAACCTGACCTTTCTCTCTAGCTGCCCTTAATATTTTTTCCTTCATTTCAACTTTGGTGAATCTGACAACTATGTGTCTTGGAGTTGCTCTTCTCAGGAGTATCTTTGTGGCATTCTCTGTATTTCCTGAATTTGAATGTAGTCCTGCCTTGCTAGATTGGGGAAGTTCTCCTGGATAATATCCTGCAGAGTATTTTCTAACTTGGTTCCATTCTCCCTGTCACTTTCAGGTACACCAATCAGATGCAGATTTAGTCTTTTCACATAGTCCCATATTTCTTGGAGGCTTTGTTCATTTCTTTTTATTCTTTTTCCTCTAAACTTCTCTTCTTGCTTCATTTCATTCATTTGATATTCCATCACTGATACCCTTTCTTCCAGTTGATCGAATCAGCTACTGAACCTTGTGCATCTGTCAAGTAGTTCTCGTGCCATGGTTTTCAGCTCCATCAGGTCATTTAAGGACTTCTCTGCATTGGTTATTCTAGTTAGCCATTCGTCTAATCTTTTTTCAAGGTTTTTAACTTCTTTGCCATGGAGGTTTCAAACTTCCTCCTTTAGCTTAGAGTAGCTTGATCATCTGAAGCCTTCTTCTCTCAACTCATCAAAGTCATTCTCTGTCCAACTTTGTTCCATTGTTGGTGAGGAGCTGCATTCCTTTGGAGGAGGAGAGGTGCTCCGATTTTTAGGTTTTTCGGTTGTTCTACTCTTTTTTTCCCATCTTTGTGGTTTTATCTACCTTTGGTCTTTGATGATAGTGACGTACAGATGGGGTTTTGGTGTGGATGTCCCTTCTGTTAGTTTTCCTTCTAACAGTCAGGACCCGCAGCTGCAGGTCTGTTGGAGTTTGTCGTAGGTCCATTCCAAACCCTGTTTACCTGGGTATCAGCAGTGTAGGCTGGAGAACAGTGGATGTTGGTGAACAGCAAATGTTGCTGCCTGATCGTTCCTCTGGAAGTTTTGTCTCAGAGGAGTACCCAGCCATGTGAGGTGTCAGTCTGCCCCCACTGGGGGTGCCTCCCAGTTAGGCTACTTGGGGTCAGGGAACCACTTGAGGAGGCAGTCTGTCTGTTCTCAGATCTCAAGCTGTGTGCTGGAAGAACCAATACTTTCTTCAAAGCTGTCAGGCAGGGACATTTAAGTCTGCAGAGGTTTCTGCTGTCTTTTGTTTGGCTATGCCCTGCCCCCAGAGGTGGAGTCTACAGAGGGAGACAGGCCTTCTTGAGCTGTGGTGGGCTCCACCCAGTTTGAGCTTCCCAGCCACTTTGTTTACCTACTCAAGCCTCAGCAATGGCAGGCGCCCCTCCCCACTGCCTCACTGCCACCTTGCAGTTCGATCTCAGACTGCTGTGCTAGCAATGACTGAGGCTCCGTGGGTGTAGCACCCTCCAAGCCGTGCATGGGATATAATCTCCTGGTGTGCCATTTACTAAGACTGTCAGAAAAGTGCAGTATTAGGGTGGGAGTGACCCAATTTTCCAGGTGCCGTCCATCACCCCTTTCCTTGGCTAGGAAAGGGAATTCCCCAACCCCTTGCACTTCCTGGGTGAGGTGATGCCTCACCCTGCTTCAGCTCAGGCTGGGTTCACTGCACCCACTGTCCTGCACCCACTGTCTGACAATCCCCAGTGAGATGCACCCAGTACCTCAGTTGGAAATGCAGAAATCATTCGTCTTCTGCATCACTCATGCTGGGAGCTGTAGACTGGATCTGTTGCTATTCTTCCATCTTGGCTCCACCCCAAGAAATTACTTTTCAATGTCCAAATAGCTTCTCCCTTGTGTGTACAAGAGACTAGGCCAAAAAGTCCATTGTGGAGAAAAGAAAGAGAGATCAGACTGTTACTGTGTCTATGTAGAAAGAAGTAGACATAAGAGACTCCATTTTGTTCTGTACTAAGAAAAATTCTTCTGCCTTGACATGCTGTTAATCTGTAACCCTAGTCCCAACCCTGTGCTTGCAGAGACATGTGCTGTGTTAACTCAAGATTTAATGGATTTAGGGCTGTGCAGGATGCGCTTTGTTAAAAAAGTGCTTGAAGGCAGTATGCTTGTTAAAAGTCATTGGCATTCTCTAATCTCAAGTAACCAGGGACACAATACACTGCGGAAGGCCACAGGGACCTCTCCCTAGGAAAGTCAGGTATTGTCCAAGGCTTCTCCCCATGTGACAGCCTGAGATATGGCCTCATGGGAAGGGAAAGACCTGACCATCCCCTAGCCCGACACCTGTAAAGGCTCTGTGCTGAGGAGCGTTAGTAAAAGAGGAAGGCTTCTTTGCAGTTGAGACAAGAGGAAGGCATCTGTCTCCTGCTCATCCCTTGGAATAAAATGTCTCAGTGTAAAACCTGATTGTATGTTCTGTTTACTGAGGTAGGAGAAAACCACCTTAGTGATGGAGGTGAGACATGCTGGCAGCAATACTGCTCTTTATTGCACTGAGATGTTTGTGTGTGTGCACATCAAGGCACAGCACATTTCCTCAAACTTATTTATGACACAGAGACCTTTGTTCACATGTTTTCCTTCTGACCCTGTCCCCACTATTACCCTATTGTCCTGCCAGATCCCCCTTTCCGAGATGGTAGAGACAGTGATCAATAAATACTGAGGGAACTCAGAGACCAGTGCCTGTGCGGGTCCTCCTTATGCTGAGCACCGGTCCCCTGGACCCACTTTTCTTTCTTTATACTTTGTCTCTGTCTCTTATTTCTTTTCTCAGTCTCTCGACCCACCTGACAAGAAACACCCACAGGTTGTGGAGGTGCTAGCCCCCTTCAGTCCATGCTTCCATAGTTAGAAAACTGCCCTTCAGGTATAAACTAGTGAATCTTAGAAGTAAATTAGCTCCTCCAAAGCCCAGCAGAACATGGTTTGAGAAATTCCCCTGCCCACAGCAATTTGGTGGCATCATGAGTCAACATTTCTCAAATACATTCTTCAGCACTTAACGTGCAATCTTGGACCAGGGAGCTAACCTCTCTGTGCCTCATTTTCCTCATCTAAAAAACAGAGGCAGTAAGAATATTTACTTAAAAGCCTTACTGTGAAGATTAAGTGAGCTCATGTGCATAAGTCTGAAGATAGCTGGCAGAGAGAGCCACAGGGTCTGGCTCCGATAACGATGCTGCTCTGATTATTACAGAGGCCATAAATTATGTGGCCTCATTTATATCACTTAGAACTGTCAGTTATATGCAAATTAATGAAAGACAACTCTCCTTCCACCAAATGGCTAGGTACGTGCAAGGTGTTTTTCCCACAGAAAGGGAAGAGGAGGGCCAACCCCTATGCGGGGCTGGGAAAAGAGGAGAATAAAAGGACTAAGGGAGTTTAGGACCTACCAGGTCAACTCCGTCTCAGAAGAAAGCCACAACTGAGCAACAACCCGAAGGTCAGATTGAGGAGGGGGATACAACAATTGTCTAAACAAAAGCAGGGCTGCCAACCCCACACTTAGTTCCAGGACTGTCCATTGTTCAACCAAATAGCATTGAAGCCCTGTATGCTTTTGCTATCTTCTGTGGAAACAGCTTCAAGATGGCTTACGAGCTGTCAAGCCATGTAAGAAATCTGTGGAAAAAGAAAAAGGCCAGGGTGGGGTTTGTAAACCATCTGTGGCAGAAGTCTTCTAAGCAGCAAACATTTCCACTGTATTCATTAATAATGCCAATCAGAACATCTTTTCTGCATGTTAATTAAAGAAGGCACACACAGCCATAGAACCTATCTAGCCCTATCAGAATGAATGAGGCTAATTTTTCTCACAGTTTTGAATAATATCCTTGAGTTCGTGAGCTCAAATTTCATTGTTAGCCATCACCATTTGATTTCAAGTGTTTATCTTCCTTTTAATGCTGCAGTGTCGGGATGCATTGGTGAGAACTTATCCAGGGTAAAACACAGTCATTTAGAGACAGTTTTTAGAAGAAACTATTTAGGTGACAATTTTTTTTTTAATTAAAGGGAAGAGACACAACACACCAGATCTGAGCTTGTCAGATGCATTCTAGATGTGTTAATTCTTGGAAGTTCTCATGATGAGGGCACTGTCCAGACAACATTTTAGGTAGCTCTTTTCAAGAGGTGGAATCTGGGGAAGGGTGGATTTTCCCAAATCTTTTACCACTGGAAATGCTTCCCTGGGCATTGCTCTAGTCAATGGTCCCAAGCTTTGTACAATTTGAGAAGTATACATGAAATGTATAGCATGATCAAGAACTGTCTTAGGAAATGAGGGTAAAAAGAAATATAGAACAGGCCAGGCTCAGTGGCTCATGCCTGTAATCCCAGCAGTTTGGGAGGCCGAGGCAGGTGGATTACTTGAGTTCAGGAATTTGAGACCAGCCTGGGCAAAACAGTGAAACCCTGTCTCTACTAAAATATAAAAAAATAGCCAGGCATGTCCAGGTGTGCCTGTTATTCCAGCTATTTGGGAGCCTGAGGCAGGAGAATTGCTTGAACTGGGTTGGCGGAGGTTGCAGTGAGCAGAGATTGCACCACTGTACTTCAGCCTGGGTGACAGAGCGAGACTCTGTCTCAAAAAAAAAAAAAAGAAAAAGAAAAGAAAAAGGAAAGAAAGAAATACAGAACAGAGTCCCTGCCCCTGCAGAATACACTAAGGATAGCACCTTTTGCCCCTTTGTTTGGTGCATGGCTCCTAAAGGTCCAGGTTCACTTTGGTAAGGGATTTGGGGAAAGAAGACTGGCTTAGAAGCAAGTGGTTTGGGGCTAGGCTTTACCATGAAAGGTGATGTGACTCTTTCAAGGGCTTGGTCTCTCATCTGTAAAATGGGATGATGGACAGACAATGTCTCTTGGTTCCCAGATTCTATGCTATAAACAATGCTCAATCATAACATTATGGACTCAATTGTGTCCTTCCAAAATTCATATGGTAAAGCCCTAACCCCCAATGTGACTATATTTGGAGACAGAACCTTTAGGAAGGTAATTAAGGTTAAATGAAGTCCTAGTTCTCCTTTAAATTAGTGTGGGATGGGGCCTTAGTCTAATAGGACTGGTGTCCTTATTATAAGAGGAAGAGAAATCAGAGCCCTCTCTCTCCCTCTCCTGGAGTGTGTAAAGATGAAAAGCCACATGAGGAAACAGCAGGAATGTGGCTGTCTGCAAGCCAGGAAGAGAGCCCTAGCCGGAAACTGAAGTTGCCAGAACATTGACTATGGACGTCTAGCCTCCAGAACTGAGAGAAAATAAATGTCTGTTGTTTAAGCCACCCAGTGTGTGGTATTTTGTTATGACAGTCCTAGCAAACTAACACACATACAAAGCACATTTCAATGACATGCTTTTCTAAAGGGACAATTTTCAATAGAACAAATCCATAATAATGTGACCTTTTTTTTTTTTTTTCCACAGAGAGGGAAGTGAGACAAATTCAGAAAGTCTTCTGAATCATGTTGGAGTTCCTGGAACTGCCAGTATCTAGAAGTCATAAAGAAAAAGACTGACAAATGTGAACATATAACAATTTTTCGCTTTTGTCTCCCAAAAGACTCCATAAGCAAAAGGTCATCAACATGAGAAAATTATTTGCAACAACAATAACAAAAATAAAGGCCAAGCTTAATATATTTATATATGAAAAGTTTTACACATAGTTAAAAATACTAAAACACCATTAGAAACAAAGGACTTAAACTAGGAATTAATTATTTCTCTTTCTCTTTCCATGGCCAACAAACATTGAAAAAAAATTGCCATCTTTTTTTTTATTTGTTTGTTAGAGATGGGGATCTCACTCTGTTTCTTAGATTGTAGTGCCATGGCACAATAATGGCTCACTGCAGCCTCAAACTCCTGGGCTCAAGTGATCACCCCCATACAGACTCCCGAGTAGCTGGGAACACAGGCACATGCCACCACCCCTAGCTAATTTTTTATTATTTGTAGAGATGGGGGTCACTATGTTGCTCAGGCTAGTCTTGGACTGCTGGACTCAAGTGATCCTTGGTCTCCCAGTGTGCTGGGATTACAGCCATGAGCCACTGCTCCAGTCCTCAACTTCTTTTTTATTTAGCAAGTTGACAAATTTTGAAAACAAAATTGTCACTGCTGGTAAAGGTACAGTGATATGGGAAAGTTTACAGTGCTTAAGGGAATTTTAACTGTACAAACTTTCTAGAAAGCAATTTAACAATCTTGCAGTAGCTTGCCACAAAAAGTCTACCCTCTTTCACCCAGAAAACTTACCTTTCTTTTCTGTCCTGAGGTAATAACCTCCAATGCTATCAAATATCCATCTACAAGCCTTACTTATAAAATTGCTTAAAAACTTAATGTTCAACAATCCAAATATTTAACCACAGAAAAACAGTTAAATTTAGAGATTTCTGTACAATTAATACCAGGCTGCCCCTAAAAATATCATGGGAATTTAGTGATTCAGAAAAATACTTTTGATATAATATTATGGAGAAAAAAACTATGATATGAAACTGCCATATGAGCTCAATATAGATTTTTATGTTAAAACGGTTTAGACAAACCTTAAGGAAATACACAAAATACTAGCAGCAGTTATAAGTGGTGGAATTACACACAATTTGAGTTTTCTTTTATATCCTTTTCTGTGATGTTATTAACAAGTTAGAATGGGTGTAACAGAAGTAAATGGACAACACAGATGACAAAGAATTTCCTTTTTTCTCTCCTCTCCAAGGTTCTTGAAGGCATAACTAGAATCAAATAGTTTTTTAAAACTATGGGGAGACAATTTTAGTATAATCTTAATGGAAAAACTTTCCTTAGAGGAGTCTAAAAATGTAAGATAGGGCCTCAGAAGCATGAGTGACATGTTACTGGAGTTCAAGTTTACTCTGAATAAACTTCCAGCCGTTCATTATGATACCTGCTGGGAACCTATTATGTACCAAGTACTCTTGTAAGTCACTAGAGGCCTCACAAGCAGTAAGACAAAGTCCCCACCACCCATTAAGCTTACCTTGCAGTGGAGGAGGAAGAAAGTAACATAATGTCAGATGTGATAAATGCTATAAAATGCCAAGTGGGCCAAGGGGAGAGTGTGAAGGTGGACACAGTGGTGGTAGCTATTTTTGAAAGATGCATCAGTGTAGGGCTCCCCAATTTCAGTGAACTAAGCAAGCAAGGGATACGGATCTGAGGTTTGAGAGTTCCAGGAGGAAGGGACAGACAGCCTGACATGCATAGTGAATGAGGGACAGACAAGGATCAGGTGAGCAGCAGAATCAGGAAAGAAGGTGATTAAGACTAAACTGAGTATTGGGGAGGTCAGCGACTTAGGGCTCTGTTCATCTGACTTGTTTGGCCAATGGGATATTATCAGGTGTAATGCAAACAGAGGCCTAAAAAGCATGTGTGTGGTTGAGCTTGGCCTCTTTTGACTTTGCTATTATGTTGAGAGGGCATGCCCCAGCTAGCCAGTTGGTTCTAGAGGGATGAAAGACAAATGGATCAGAGCTGCCCCAGTGGAGCCCAGCTGAGACCAGGTCTGCCTCAACAGAGCTGCTCCAGCCAACCCCCAAATCTGCCAGAATAAATTGTTACCTTTGTAAGCCAATCAGTTCTGAAGTGGTTTGTTACTCAGCATTATTGGAGCAATAGCTGATAGACACAATGCTCAACCTAGACCTAAAAAACAAGACCACTGTAATTTGCTTAGCCTGGGTCCTTATTGAGAATAACAGTGTGGCCTAACCAGTTCAACAAACCATGATTGTAAGAGTAACAAGCACAGGAGCCTTATCCTAATATTATCCGAATGTAAGATAATTCTACATTTCAAGTAAGATAACTATGGGTAAACCAATAACATGCTCCAGTTTCTTGTTTACTATACTGACAGTCTGTTATCAAATAGCCTTGGCAGGTTCTAAGTTTGCTTCTCTCATCTGTTTTGCCGAAAAATTTGTCCCAAGTGCTTATTCCATGGCCTCCTAAAAAGACATATTTCATAGGTGATCAGGGAAAAACAGCTGCTGTACAGCTAAATCACGTCAAAAGTATTTTGGGGTTGAAGGCAAGCATGAACCACAATCCAGCTCACTTTTTAACTTCTGAGTAATATTCCAGGAGTCCATCTGGAGCCCCATCACAGTAGGGATGCCGTAAGAGACCTTTTTGAGTATAGCCCTCCCAAATCCTGACCTAAGCATGCTTGAGACCAGAAGACACTCAATGAGCCCCTCAGGGTTATATCAAGATGGCACACATTTCCTCAAGACTTCTACCAAAATATGTTACATCAAATTTCCAAAGCCTCTACCTACATATATTCTCAGTGGAAAACCTCCAGGCCCTTTAAATGTGCCTGCCATGTGCTTTAAGTACTTATGGGCCTAATTCAACACAAATTATATGGTGATGTTTAGCCTGACCATGGTGAGCATGGCAGAACTGAGGTCCAGAAGAGGGAAGGGGACACTCACAGCCCATCCAGACTTCTTCTCTTTCCCCTGACAGGCTTCCTTTCTTTCCCCCTGAGTCACAGGCCTGGGAAGCAGGTTGTGCAGTCAGCAGGAAAAGCTATGGCTAGCTTGGGGGTATGAAGAAGGAACACACAGAGATCCTTATTTTCCACCCACCTCAACCACTGCCTGCCTCCCAGCCTCCCCACCTCAGCATAATGCTCCAGTATTCTGAATCCCATCCAGACTTTTTCTCCATTCCCTGCTGAGCTTCCTCTCCTTCCTCCTAAGTCACAGGCCTGGGAGAGGGGCTGTGTAGTCAGCAGGGAAAGCTACAGCTAGCTTGGTGGTATGAAGGAGGAACACACACGGATCGTTATTCACCACCCACCTCATCCACTGCCTGCTTCCCAGCCTCCCCACCTCAGCATAATGTGCCAGTATTCTGAATCCAGAGCACTGATTCACCTACTTAACCATGAGGCTGAAGTTCAGAATGGCTGTCAAAATCTGGTCACCTAACAGCAAAAAAATCAATGAACTACAGAGAGCAGATAGCTAGGCTTTTAAAGATTCACTTGTTTTGATGGCCTTGTCACTGCTTGTCTCCTCATTACCTTCATGGCTCAGCCTCACTGTAATGTGCACTGACTTGGGCATAAATAGGTCTATCTTAGAGTTAATGCTCTGATGTAAAAAGGGTAAACCACCCTCCATCTATGGAAAACATTCCATTATCACAGCATTTTTTATGAAAGCCAAGATGCTTCCCTACTGTCCACAAAAAGCTATTTGCCTTCATACTGTATAAATATTTGATGCTGGCCTTTTGGCAAAAGGCCACCTAAATATTCCAAGCTTATGATTTACAAGAAGGATGTGGGAAAGGAGATTTGTCATAGTATTTCAAGAGGTAAATTCTATGAGGCAACCATTCTTCTCCTGCGGACTCTGAGATACTAAGACTGTCTATCAAGCAAACCTTCAGGCTCAGCCCTAGGCTGCTGTGCTTCGCCAAAGTCTAGCCTGAATGTGCATGCCATGACAAGCGGTCAATGCATTTGGTCTATTTTTGCAGGGTTAAAAACAAAATATTACTGTTGTCCTTTAAACAAACTAGACTGGACTAGATTGACTACGCTGGAATAGCTGGCCTAACAGATGCTCTTGGCTCTCTGAGAGTGCCTTCTCTCCATCAGAGGCTGCACAGTCCTCTTGGCACCACCTTGATTCCAAGATTGGCACTGGCCAAGTGCATAAGTGCAATTGCACATGTGGTCAATGGCATGTGATCCCACGGCAAATATAATCACTGTTCAACCAATTCCAGATAAAGGTGCCATGTTGCTCCACAATCACACTGAAGCTAATTTGCTCTATTTACCAAAGAATAAGCAAGGCTGCTGCCGTTTCTTGTTTCTTGAACACTCTCTGCTGCTCTAGGCCTGGCTACCGTCCTACATTCTTAGTTTGATGCAATGAGTCATCTAGAAAAGCTATTACTCCTCTTTAGCTAGAAAAAGATTAGCTTGCAAGTTGCAGTGCCAATTAAATGAACAGATAGGGAAGAAACATTCTGATTCATTGGTTGATGGATGTGAGGCACTCTGCCAGGTGCAGTTCAAGGCTTTTCATTGAATCCTCCCCCAAATTCTGTAAGAGTCATCATTCCCTTTTAGTGGATAGACATCTGAGTTACATGATTTGTCCATGTTCATATGGAATACAAAGGCCAAATCAGATATGAAATATGATTTGTTTGACACTAAAACTTACCCCCTTTCAACAACAGACATTTATTGAGCTACTGCTATGATGAGGCAGACCCTGTTTGAGGAACTGGGGGTAGGTGCTAAACAGGCTAAGTTTCTACACTTGCAGAGCTGGTGTTTTCTGACCAATGCACCATATTCTCTCTGCCTTGGTGGTTAGGATAAGATTTTAGTCGGGTCACAATGAGACTTAGGACTTCTGTTTGGGGCCACATCTGTGCAGATGCCATGCTCTCCTATATAGGGCAGAAAAAAAAAAGAATAAAAATATGATTGTAAATGGCTGACTTATGCATATAGCTGTGTATTTTGACACAATGGGTTAGCATACAGTGATGAAAGAAAATGGTCTGCAATTACATGTAAAAATGTAGACGAACCCCACAACAACAAGTGTGTGTATAAAGTTTGTATACAGTTCAAAACTCATCAATGGTGTTTCAAGTAGGGACTGTGATTACCCCAGGGGGATAGAAACAGTGCAATTACATGTAAAAATGTGGAAGAATCCCACAATGACAAGTGTATAAAATTTGTATAAAGTTTTGTATAAAGTTCAAAACTCATCCATAGTGTTTCAAGTAGAGACTGTGATTACCCCAGGGGAAGAGAAACAGTGTGGGGCATGCAGGGGCTTCTAGGGTTTTGATATGTTCTATTTCTTGATCTATGTGCTGGTGATGTGTGTGCTCACTTTGTGAAAAGCCACTGAGGTATATATCCTTGTGATCTGTACTATTTTTTACATGTGTGCTAAACTGCAATAAAAGTTTTTTAAAGATGTCCCATGGACATCTGCCACTGACCAGAGACACTAGCCACTAGCCACATACGGTTATTTAAACTTAAGTTAATGAAAGTTAAATTAATTTTAAAATTCAATTCCTCAGTAGCAGTATCCACATTTCAAGTGCTCAGTAGCCATAGTCAGCTGGTGGCCGCCATACCGGACAACCCAGATACAGAACAAACACCTCCATCATCACAGGCACTTCTATTGGACAGCCCTGCTCTGGATAGCTCTCTGAATGTATTTGTAACAAGCCAATCACTTTCTTGTGTCACTCATGCATTCAACAAATGGTTATGGACCAATACACTATACAACGCCTGCTGCTACTATGGTAAGATGTCAATATTAGACAATGGTGAGACTTTCATCCAAAATTAAGACCTGTCTGTGCTGTATCATGTTCTAAGGCTTTGGATGATTTAAAGTACATTCATTTAGAATTCAGAATGGTCTCTATTCTCAGGATGCTTGCTGGCATTTCAAGGATTGCAAACAATGTAGAATCCAAACTCTGTTCATGACTTTGCTAATTCTTGAGAGAAAATGGCTCAACAACAACACACAATACTGTTTATGCTCCCTGCCAGGTTTTGCTGGGATTGATAAATTTGGTGTTATGTTTCACTTAGGGATCCTATGACTGGCAGCCCTCAGGATATGTACGTGTTTGCACATTGGTCCCATTCCCCAAATTGCCTCTTAGATTTGACACACCCTGGTGACTCAACTTGCCTTCCCATTAACCTAAAGCCCTTTCTTTGTTTTACACATTTTCCAACTATACATAGACCTTCTGCCTTAGGAGAGCTGACATTAATAGTGCTATTCCATGCAGCAAACCACTAGAGACAATACATTACTGGGGAGGGGGTACTGGGTGCTGGGAGACCTGGGAACAGTGAGTGTCTCAGTGGAGCTTACAGAAACCAGTCTGTTCAACTTATTTCTCTGCTGCTAATTTCAAGGTGCTGCCACTGCTACTTCAAACTGTAATAGTGTCTACAAACAATTTGCACTTTGGAATGGCACACTTCCAACAGGTAATTAACAAATCCAGGGGACAATCTTTTTAAAAGGCTTTAAAAGCAACAGAGACTGAGGCCACCATCAATGATATAGAATCATTCCGCTTTCTCTGTCATTTCAGAAGATACCTGGTTGACTGCTAGAGAGGTTTAGAGACTACAGGCCCTGGGCTTTATGGAAAGTTCCTCAAGATGTGTTAATTAGAAATAAAATTCAGCATGGTTATTGGCTGCAGTGTTTTCTCAATGAAATAGGCTATGAAGAGGGACTAAGATTTCAATAGTTAGGAGCAGAGTTCACAAAGGGCCACCCAAGGACAGTGAATTCCATACCATTCACCATTCCAAGGCAGAACACTGCATTCACCAGCCTGCCTCCTTTCTGGAAGTGGTCGCTCGTGTGCCCTAACCGGTTGGTGTCCAAGCTCTCACTGTCTGGCCATTTTTGGAGACATGGAGAGGAATGGTGAGAGGGAAGTATTGCTGGCCCTTCTGATGGCTATTCGGTTTGTTGAAAAGGGCTGAGATCTACATTTCTGCTGAGATTTGTAAAGGTAGTGGAGAGAGAAGAAGTCAACCAAAGATAAAAAGCTGCTTCGTCGGGTTTAGTGGAATCTCTCAGGAGCCTGAATAAATGATATGATGAATGCTGAAATCTCTGTGAGGCTGTATTGTTGTCAAATAATAAAGCCTCATTCCAAGTAGTAAGGTGAGGCTGCCTTAAAGTAACATGGACCTCAAAGGTTGGGCTTCTAATGGGGGACTTAGGTTTTTAATCTGGAATATAATGAATACTTGTTATCTGGGATTAATGTGTACAGTTAGGTGGTTGAGAAAAGAACACAGCAGATGGTTCTAGAAATTCATACAAATATGTGTTTTGGAAACAAAAGCAGAATGTATTTGGGTCAGAGTGGTCTTTTAAAAAGTAAAGGTACAGAGACACATAAAAACAAAAATACTGCTCTAATGTCAGAAATATTATATACTCCTGAACTCACTATTTATAAACTGGAATAGTGTTTCCTGGGGCTGAACCCATATTACTTAATCAAGTACATCAAAAATACATCATTGATATGTAAAAATAAATATGTTCCTGTAAATGAGAGTTCCTGCCTGGAGTGGCAGGTCAGCCCAAACAGCCAAGAAGGCACTGGGGGTGAGGTGCTGAGCTTTCAGTTCCTTCATTTATAGCTCAGTTCTTAAGCAATCAATAATCACCACCACCCATCAGCTGAGCCAAGCCTGCCTATGTGCAGCTGGGCATGGGTTAGCAGTAGCAGCCTCCAGAAGCAAATATCTGGAATTTCAATCTAAGTCTGAAAGTCTATTTTTATGCTCCTCATTTAGTCAAGCAATCAGTTGACCCAGCTTAAAAAGTCTTGCTTACACAGGCTTGTCAGGAATATGCTTTGGTTTCCAAAAATATCTTTTTAAATCATAAGAAAATCCCCACCTTGTGTGAAACAAGAATTTAAAGGTCATAAACAATGGTTGACATTAGCAAGAAGGACAAAGCAAATTCATGCTCCCTGCATAAGCACTCTTTGATGCTGTTTCCCAAATTTCAGTACCTCACAATGTTTTGTGGTATCCAAGTACTAGTTGACTTTTTCCTTTATTTAAATAAATATATTATTTTTTTTTTTAAAAAAAGAAACTTTCTTTCATGAGTATGAAGGCAATCCACTACCACTTGCCAAAAACAAGGGGTGATGATGAAGTACATTAACACCAAATATGTTCATCTGTCTAACACCTAAAATTATCTCACATAGGTCACAAAGTCTTCTCTCAGCCCCATCTGAGTGAGCACCAGCAGAGATCACTAGGTAGCAGCGCTGGGCCATGTTACTTCGTCATCAGCAACACCTGAATGAGCAGAAGCCATTTCAGGCTTTCCATCCAACAGAACAATTATGAAAGGAAGGTGCCTATCTTTGGAAGTGGCCACTTGGATTTTAAACACCAACTCTAGCCTGTTCATTATCCCCATCCAAAGCTGCTTTTCTCAGCCCTCCTCCTTACTCAGAAGCCATCTCCAGCTAGGAGATACTTTCATACCAGAAATTAGGTCTTGGTGTATAGAGCTCGCAATCACTAGACTAGTTCATGACTGGAAAATACAAACTTTAGAAATGGAGCAACATGTAATGGAGTGAATCCAGCCATAAATTGGGGCTGGGGTGGGCAGGAGGTAAACTAGACAGTTGGGTGTTTTCCAGTCCTGGCGGCCAGGGGTTCAAATAAAGCTGCAGCTACCGAGGGCAAGAGGATAAACAAGGTTTTAGTTAGTTCTTGGGTTTATTTGGTTTCCTTTATAAGCAGACCCTGCAAGCTTTCCTGTAGAAGTAGTTTATTTGGGAAGTGATCCCAGGAAACAGAGGGAAGGAGTAGGAATGGAAAACACGGAGGAGATGGAGATGATGCCAGTGAATAAGTGCATTGAAGAGCATATTACCAATGGGGCAAGTAGGGCTCAGTCCCACCAGGGACCCACAGACACTGTGTAAAACACACCCAGATTCTTACACCAAGAGCAAGGATTGTGGGACATTTTTCCTCATGAATTGAAAGTTACTCCTGAGTCATTCATTTCCCAGGGCCCACTCCCTAGAATATCTGCAGGCAGAGAGGCTAAGGAAGCTGTGGGCTTAGCCAGAGCTAACCACAGGTGACCCCAACATAGGCTACAGCACCACTCACTACAGCCTGCTACAGTCAAGCACAAATATAAATGAATTAGAGAGAAAAAGGAAATCACAACCTCTGCATAGAAGTAGGTGGGGAATTTGGAAGTGGCCAAAGTCCAAAACTACATGGTAACACTTGATCACACAGAGGGAACTCCCACTCAATGGCAAGACAAAAACACAACTTTCCCGAATGCATAATGAACCAGAAAAAGGGGAAGGCCAAAGGAGAAGTGAGAGTGCTGGTGGTGTAATAGAGGAAGACAGAAACCCTCAGAAAAGGCAGATGGTGTGGACAGCTTTCCTGGCTTGATCCTCCTCAGGGGGCTAGACTGATGCCAGAGACAGAAATAAATTTCTCAGGAAGGAAAAGGAGAGAGCATTGGAAAAAAGAGCCTCCAAAGAATCAGCAGCAATGAAATATTGGGAGAAATCTGATTGCAGATGCGTAACCCTTGTACACTCACTCCTCTGTCCCATCATCTTCTTGGCTCTGGTCCTTTCTTTCTTCACATGAAAATCAGTCAAGAGAAACTGTACAAAAGTGATACCCTTTGATGTTTTAATATTCTGATTCTCCAATATTGATTCTCCAATACACATCCTCACATGAGCAAGCACCAAAGATTGCAAAAAGAGCCCCATGTTTATTTAAATTTTCTCAGCTGCTCTGTGACTCTCAGCTGGAAGATTTTTCTAGACATGGGACAGTAAGTCCCAAAGGGGTACGGAAGGCATTGGTTCTGATCATGTTCTGGGAATTGCTGAAGGACTGCACTGGCAGAGCACCCATTGGGACTCTCTTCTCATCTCTCCCTTTTCCCCACCTTGTCTCATTTAGATCCCTCCTATTGCACATGTGTTTGTTGTATTGACCTAAGCCAACCAGAGGAGAATGTGAGGGCAGGCTAAGGGGGTGTGGGGCCCAAGGGTGGGGGTAGTTGAATCCTGCCAGCCTGGGAAACTGGTCCATTCAGGCTTTGCCAGGCTACTAGGGAGTGGGGAGGAAAGAGGCAGGTGTCCAGCCTTGAGGTCTATGCCTGGGTCTGGGGACTCAGACACAGGATGGAAGGCTGCAGTTTGCCTGCAGGTGGGGCCCCAGAGAGCCCAGGTCTTGAGGGTAAGCAGGTGACTGGCTGGGCCTCTGGACCTCTGGTCAGGTGAGAAGAAAGAGTTTAGAGGCTGGCTGAAAATCTGGGGCTCCAAGGGCTAGATGTGGGAGGAGGAGGCAGCTGGCTATTACCTGCACTGGAAAGAACAAGTGGGCATCACACTTGGTGGGGACTGCAGGCTGCTGAGGTCATGGGCAGAAGGGACTAAGCAGAAATGTTTGTATTGGGAAGGCAGGCAGTGGGCACCATGGTGGCAAGGCAGGGCAAGAGGGCAGAAGGGCCGTAGGCTATTCCAGATGCCTAAATCTGGGCAAGGCTGCTCAAGCTTCAGTCAGGATTGGGTACTAATAGCAGGGCACCTCTGGGCCAGCACGAGGCCTGCTTGCCAGGGCAGCAGGGAAAGGCAAAGTGCAGGGACTGCTGCATGAACAACAATCCAAGGGAATCCACTTGTAAGGATGACAACAACCACAGGCATGTGTCCCTTATTTACAAGGGCCTTTCACCTTCACCATCGCATGTGACTCTCCCAACCTTGATGGGAGGGGGCGGCACTGATTATGTGCCCAGAAGCATTAATTGGATCCCCCAGAAATCACAAGCCTATATGTGGCACAACCAAGGGCCTTTCACACCCCAAACTCTGGGCTCTTTCCCAAATATAACAAGAGGCTAATTCATCAGGACACAGAAGGCAGGGGCCAATGACTATGCATGGGAACTCAATAGCTGTTTGTTAATGAACTGAGTAAAAGATGAGAAAGATGGCTGCAGTGTCAGATCTGGGAGGGGGCCATATCATGGGGTCCAACTGTCCCGAGAGTGTAGGGAGGGAAGGAGCCCTACCCCTACATCAGGAAAGCCCTACCCCTGGGTTTTGGCCATTCACAATAAGCTGGCAGCCAGGGAGTGCTACTGAATAAAATCGTCTCAGCCAGAAACATGATTGGCATCATATGCTCAGGTTTCAGGCTGACATTTCTAAGCCTTTTAAGTGAGGAGGTGCAGCATAGGAAGGGCAGTGCTTGGAAGACTTATTATTTTGTGTCAGTGAGAATGATTAGAATTTTGTTGAACCTGTCTAGCCTCCTTGTTTCTCTGATGGAAGTTGTGGCAGCAGAGATGGTGAGGCTGTCCCTGCACAGGCTCAGGTGATCACTGCACAGCATGGACCTCCAACCAAAAGGAAATTCCCCCAGACCAGGAAATAAGCGAGCAGGAAGAGGAACACATAGTGGGCCTCCCCTAGAACCTGCAGAGGCAAGGACATGACGGCTGCATGGAGCCCGCAGACATGGGGAGGGACGACCTGCCCCTGCTTCCACATGCAGAATCCACTGGAAAGTCCTGTCTGAGAAGTCACTGCCTAGATTCCTCTCCCCAAGGCCTGCTGTAAAGAAAATAAGTTAACAGAGGAGAAGGTGGGAAGAGGAGGGAGACTCTCTCCAGATTTTTTTTAATTGTCTTGTTGTGATTGCCTGTTTAAGCCCACCTGGCAGAAGAGGAGTAAAAACACTTCCCTCCTTAAAGGGCTCGGAGAGAAGACAAGCTGGGAGCTGAGCAGGCAGCCGGGAGGGGTGCCTGGGGGCAGCGGTGGGGGGTAGCTCTTTGTGACTGTTGGGGAGTGATGGTGAGTGGATTTCCCAGGAGAAAGATTAAGAGAGAGGCTGGGGGTCAGATGAGGGTCACAACCAAGGGGGACAGGGTCCCTGGACATTCAGCCTTCAAGAAGGCCAAATGCTCAAGCTGTGATAAAGAAATTTAACTGAATGGGGCCACAAAAGGTGACACCCCCTACTTGTGAAACGGACATGATAATAGCATCTTCTGCCATAAAGCTGTTGTGAGGAGTAACTGAGATGACACGAGAAGGACATAGAATAGTGCACTTGGAGGGTGACTGCCATCATGACCACTGAAAGGCTTATATGTGAAATGATCAAACCCAAAGGCTTATTTATTCCACCAAAGGAGGAAAAAAGGACAACAGTGAGCTGCCTAAATTTCAGAGATTTGCAGCCTGAGCAGAGAGATAAAGGGGCTGCTTTATGCATAGAGACAGGCAGTGTTTACCTGCCTAGGGAGAATGGGCTCGAAGGAGGATTTAATCCCTCCCCCTGGCCTATACTTGCAGAGCTGAAATTCTCATCTACTGGTGGGCTGACCGCCTCCAGAAACACATGCATTCACCCATTCCTCCCTAGCGGGGTCTGTTTTTCCAGGAGAGAATGGGGACTTGGGTGACGGGATAGTGGCCAAGATGCTGTGGGTGTCAATTTTTCTGTGTGTTCAGCCATTGGGAGAGATTCTGGGTGAGGGAAGTGAGTGGCCACAGGATAGCATAAAGGTCCTGGGCACCTGGGAAGGTTCCTAGGACAAGTCTCCCCAGTGAATAATGCTCTCACAGAAGGCAGGAGGTCTGGAAGGAGTCTCAGAGGAAGATGGGCTCTAGAACACAGTAAAAATCTGAAAAATCCTGAGGAAACCTCAGTAGTCACTGCCTCCTTTCTCAAAGCCAGGATTCCATGAGAGGTCGATGTCGAGTGTCAGGACTACTGAGCCTGTACCCCAATAGTAGCAGCTCATACTCATGAGTCAAGCATTGCCAAGTGCTTTAAATATGTCTTCTTTAACCTTTCCATGAGAAACCATCATTCTATCCCCATTTCACAGGGTGAGAAATTGAGGCATGGAAGGCAGGTTGGAATGTAAACAGAGGCTAGATTTTTGAGCACTATGTTCCCCACCACTCTGTCACTCCCTCCTTTTCTCCTGGGGGCCTCTGCTTGGCCTGACCCTTGCCCTCCTACAGTCCTGGACTGCAGAGAAGGGCTCCAATGAGGCCCATCTTCTTGCTCAAGATTCAGAGTACACACATCAAGCCCAATCTCCTGAGAAGCTGGAGGTTTCTGGATTAAGGCCTGAGCATTCATGAGGAGGACACACCGGGCTTAAATGCATGCTCAGCTACTCCATGAGGTGCAGCAGGCACCTGCTTCAAACAGTGAAAAATCACACAAATGAATGGCTCTATTTCTGCGCATACTTAAGAAGGCTCAAGGCCTTGATTAAACAGTAGTCTTACTATATCACACAGCTGAGGCAGCTCCAATATCTCCCTCTAAATCAATTTTGCAAATAGGCCCCTGGAATTAACCATCCCATAATTTTCTTCTCAAGAAGTTTGGAAGTAACAAAACATACTGTTTCTCCTTGTTTTCCCTTCTTGAAGCACTACCTGTTCATTATCACTTGTAAGAGGCTAATTTCAAGAATTAGTAAATAAATGATAATAACAATATTAACCTGAGAGAACATCCAGAAAGGCCTAAAGAGAAAGCCCTCCTAACCTCTGGGTGTCTTCTGTCAGTCTTCATACTTGTTCACCTTTCAAAGGCTAGAAGGGGTCATATGGCTCGTCTACATACCTTACTCGCAGGAAATGACTGGATGCTAGATTTCCTGGAGAAAGGGGAAATATGGATGGTAGATTTCCTGAAGAAAGTAGAGAAAAAGGCAATACAGAGAAACAGAGGGAAACTTTGTTCCCTATAAATCTTGTTGAGGACCTCAGTAAATTATTTTAGTCTATCACACAGGAAAGAACAAGTAGAAAGGCGTGAAGGGATGTTGGGTAAGTCCACCTGGGTTCATATGCCGGATCTTCCTATTTCCAGACTGGGCAACAAATTTCCTCTCTAAATCCCAGTTTGCACAGCTGTAAAATATCTTACTTTAGGCAGGTATTTTAACAAGCTGTGTGTAGGTTGTCATTGGTGCCTGGCAGGCTGCCACTTTCTGTGTGAAAGCTGGATGATTCAAGGGAAATTTTGAGAGCACAGGAGGTAAAAGAACTCAAGAGTCTAGAATCCACTTCAAACATGACATTTTGGAGCACACTGCAAGTCAATTTCATGTGGTTCTGTTCTCTCCATAAATCATAACTTCAGTAAGTAAACAGTCAGGTGGCCCAGATAACTGCTTGATAAAATTTCTCCTATTTGATGGACTGCTATCTCTACACTCTAATTCCATTCCTTTTTCTCTGAGATACCATGGGGATTAATGAAAAGCTGTTAGTCACTCTTTAAGTGGGTCAAAACTCCCAGTGCTGACATACTTACTCCCTGAGAGTGGCTCTTCATGTACCTCCAATGAGTCGCCATCTGGGTCAACCAGTGTCTTGCTCACCCCACGTGGTGAAAGTTGTCCACCATCTCCCTCTCCAGGGGGTGAGCTGGGCTTCTGGGCAATGGGTACCTCCCCTCTGGGGCCTGAGCAGTTTCTGGGATTTGGTTTCTCCCAGCCAGGGCACCACACATGTTCCTAGTCCCTGGTTTCTCATTCTCCAGTGACACATGATCCCCATGTGCATTTTTTTTACATCCCTGGCATTTTCCATGCTGTTGGCAGTAGACACCGGAGCACTGCTGCCTGCCAAATCCACAGGGGAATGGTACTGAGGCATAACACCAATGAATTTCAGGCCCTGGCTTGCAGCCTCCTGGATCTGTGCGGCAAACAAAAGGAAGGGAACCAAGTGAATGGAATCGTCTATCAAAAGGGCATGTGCAGAGTGCAAAGAGCCTCCCTGAGGCCTGCGAAACTATTTCAGGTGCACATGAAGAATTTCAAGCTGGCAGGAGCCCCGTGTCCTCAGGGACACCTGCCGCCACATCCTGGTCTGAAGAGGATAGGCTTTTTTTGTTTTGTTTTTGTTTTTGTTTTGTTTGTTTTTTGTTTTTTTAATATGTTGTCTGATGGAAAAATAAAGCATTGGGTTTGAAGGGTTGAAATCACCATTTTGAAACACTGCAGTAGTCCTTATTAGCCATTTTTTTTAAAGAGGCTGGAAAAGTTCTAAACAAAGAGTTTGAAAGAGGAAGTTCATTTTGGTAGAGTGTTTTTTTGTTGTTGTTACTTTTTTTCAGAGGAATCACTGACTTCCTGCCCATCAGGCTATTGTGTAACTACAGCTTGTCTATATAATCATATACAAAGACCAGATGGCATTTTAGACCCAAAGAGCTCCCTTTTTGGGCAATAGTTTTGGCCAAGAGGGGCAGAAGTGGAGAAAATCACCCCCGTGCCAAGGCTGTGGCCACATCCTCCACGAGATGCACCATCTGATGGACACCTTGCTCCCTGGTGTTGTTAGGCTTAGGGAAGGTCAAAGGAGCCCACAGATCATGCCTAGCCCACAGCTACAGACTGACTCTTGGCCCTCAAAGTCCTAGTCCACACCATCCAGCAGCCAGGTGATGGTACCTTCTCATTCCCTGTACCAACAGGATAGGAGATGAACACCCACCTGGAATGCTGAGGCATTTGAACTCTCCCTCTCCCTAAAAAATACCCCTATGCAATTAGATTGAGTGTAATTCATAAGTTTGAAAGGAAAATTGAAAGGAATAAAATCTAATAAAATCAAGCAAGAACCAGACCAAATCAGAAGGTAGGATTTAGGGGACTTTCCAGGCACGAATGCTTAAGTCACTTTACACATAAATAAGGCGGTGCAGACCTCAGAGCTGTCTAAGTCTTTGTCACCAACCCATAAGCAGATGAATTCAGAAAATCTTGAGGCCTCTGCAGTGTTAATCTATCATCATTAGAGAGTCAGTTTCACCAGGATGGAGCTATTCTCTCTAAAGGAGAAGCAGCCCTGACAGCTCTTCTCAGAAGAACCACCCTGACATTAAACAGAAAGTCATTTTTGTTCCACACTGCACATCTTGGAAAACTGAAGCTGCAAATGTGCAGTCCAGTCTTTCTTTAAATCCTAGCCTGTGCTAGACATAAAATAACAATAGTAGTAATTACTGTCTAGTGTAGACCTACTATATCTAGGCATTGAGTTAGGCATTTTACGTAAGTTAAAACAACAAAATCTTTCATCCTTCAATGACTCTGCATGGTATCACTATCTCCATTTCAGATGAAGACATTGAGGCCCAGAGACATTAATGTCACAAAGCAAGCAGTGAGTAGCCAGAGTACAAAACCAGGTCAGGCCTGGGCCAAAGTTCATTCTTTTAATCACAAGACTTATTGGATACATCTCAAGGCATCAACCACATATATGTCTTTGGGCATGTTTGCGTCCACTCATACACCCAGAGTTGGCTCAATTCATGCTTCAAAAGTTAAAAAAACAACAAAACAAAGCACACAAAAAACTTACAACCATCTATTCCATTCAGAAATTTTATTTTTTCTCTCATTAATCTATGATATCCACCAATTTCAAAAGGGTTTCATATAAAAAGAAAATATATATATGCTCATATATTCCATATAGCTTATATATTCTATAAAGCTCCTAAAAGAAGGCACAGCAACACAAATTTTAAAATAAAATAGCAGGGAGATAATTATACCAAAGAACTCTGGAGACTGAGGAAATCCACCACCTGCAAAGCATACTTCTGAGCTTCCTGGCAACATATGCCAAAAGAGCAAGGCAATGGGTTTTACAGCCCTAAATGAAGTAAGGAGACACCTGCACTAGCTTCTGCTACTACTATCTTAATGCAGATGAAACAGCTGTGACTACTGAAGCATTTTAATAACTGCTTCCACTGAGGACTCAACCGTAGGCCAGGCTCAACTAGACTCATGGAAATAGCATGAAGTTTAAAGGCTTTTGAAAAGGCCTGATGTGGAGCCCCAGATGTGTAACTCAACATCTTGGGGAAGCAGAGTAGATTATATAAACTTTCTGTGCCTCAGTTTTCTCATGTACAAAATGAGTGAAAACACACTTATTTTGCAGTTGCACTGAAGCTTAGTTTAGATATTACATATGGCAAGTGCACCAAAGAATGGGTCATAAAGACGGCATCTTAACTTCTCTCTTTATCAGTCCTGGGCTTCTGCAACCCTGCAGAGACTGCTGAGTCATCTAGACTGAAGAGACAAGGACTCCAGAAACAGGGCATTATCCTAGCTCTCCCCTTCCTCACTGGGACTGGAAGAATTGGAAAGGCTTGGACACAGACATCTTCTCTTCCCCCACAACATACCAGACAACCATATTCCCTTGCCATTTTGTACTGCAAATTTATCCTCTAGGCCAGGGGTTCTAAAGTTTTGTCCCCAGACCACAGCATCAGCATCCCCTGGGAACCTGTTAGAAATGCAAATTCTCAGGCCCTAACACAGACCTATTGGGTCAGGAACGCTGAGAGTGGGATCTAGCAATAGGTGTTTTAACAAGCCTCCAAGTGACTCCAATGCAGCCTGATGTTTGAGAATCATCAATGTGTCTAGAATACACATCTCATGAGGGCTTGGGTATTTTACACTGCTGCATCCTCAGTAATAGAATGATGTCTGACATATAGCAGGTCCTCAATAAATATCCGTTGAATGAATGAATACATTAAATAATGGATGAATAAGTATGTCTTCTCTCCCAGAATGAGCTTCTTGAAGGTAGGGATGGAGACATCATTTTTCTGCTCTAGAATTCAACAGTTAATAAGCCCCATACACTGGCCCAGACCAACACAGTGGTTAGGTATCAGAAATATAAAATAGGATCCCTAACCCTCAAGAAGATTTGATGAATTATTGTGAACAGACTTTAAAAATATTTACACTATCTTGGAACAATAATGCTCATAATGACATGTATGTAAAAAGTCAAGATTCTAAACTTCATTGACTTTATTATGACAACTATGTAATATACATACATAAACTATGCATAAAAAGAGTCACCAAAACAAAAACAGCACTGTATTTAGGGAGTTGGGCTATGATTGATTTTTTTTCTTTTACTGTGTAATTTTCAAAATTTACCTAAGGGGCATGGATGTTATTTTAGTAGTGAAAAAGTAAATATTGTAAAAATTACTCATAGAGGAAAATATAGTAATGGATATGAAGGTATATAAATGACAGTGACAATGGTGATCATTTCTGCCTGAAGGGGAGGTTGAGAAAATTTCTCAGAGTAGATCAGGGATGTAACAAATGACACGGTGTAACACAAAAGGAAGAGTGAGAAATGTGGCAGAACTGGAGTGTGTATGCCTCACCTTAAAGCATTCAAATCCATTTTTTTTTTCAAAATGTCACGCTAGGTAAAACATATTTGGGATCTACTCTGCAGAAGGCTTTGAGGAACGAATAACAGTTCACTAGGTATGTAAAGGAAAAGGAGAGGGCAATCCATGTAAAGGCAAGGATGGATCATGACAGGCAAAAGCTTGACAGTATGCAACAGCCTGATGTGTTGAGGAAATTTCTAGACATATCTCAGGAACATGACGTGAGAAGCCAACAGAAGCCCAGAAATAAGGCTTGACTAGACATTACAAGGACTGACACACATGTGGACTTGTATTCATGCCCACAAAAACTCTGACTTCACCATGTAGGCCAGCATATCCAACTGTCCCACCAGAGTCATAACTTCAAGAACAGAGGAGAGCGGGAGTCTGAGGGAAAACTAAGATTTCTTCGAATGCTCATCTTTAACCTTCAACTTCAGTGCAAATATTGTATCTTACACCATAGTGCTGCCTAGGATCAAAACCTTTCAAACGATGTCAGAGTTAAATGCTGCCCTTATCCCATGTGTTCCAGGGAAATTCACACCCCCAAGAAGAGGAAGCATATTTGTAGCTCTGCTTATTTCCTTCAAATAGATTCCTGGAAGTGGAATTAATGAGTGAAGGGATATTAACTTTTCAAAGGCTTGGTAGAGGCTGCCAAATTGTTAAACAGAAAGGATGAGTAGTCTTTTTAACTAGAAGACCACATTTAGATTATATGAAGATCAATATTTGGCTAGACCTAGGAGACACGACTCTTGTGGTTCTGTCTTACCATAGTATAGACACTTTCCTCTTTTTCAGAAAGTGATTTGACTGTGTATTGATGGCTAAATTAAATCCTGCTTCTCATTCATGCATTTATAACCTTCACTGAGCCAGTCTGATGTTTATCATGGTGCTGGGCCTGTGATGTATTCATGAGAGTTCCCCAGCCACCAGCTCTCCTCCACTGTATACTTGGTGACCTCCTGCACTCACATGGGTTCCACAAATCCGATGTTAATTATTTCCAAGTGTGAACTCCTAGCCCTGGCTTTCCTTGGAAGTTCAGACCTACAAAGTAGATGATCACAGTTGACGGGCCCGCTGTCAATCTGGTCTCTCCAACTGGAATCACAGTATCTTCTTTCCTTTCTCTAATCCTGTGTATCTGTTCACCACACCCTGTCACGTTTATCCCCCAATGTTTGTGGAATTACTTCTTCATTGAAGAGGCATCAGGTTGGATGGGCTGGATATCTGTTTAAACTGAAATACACCCTCACCCACCTTCTTCTCATTTCTGCTGTCTGTAAGAAACGTTCTGCCCCAAATACTTAAAGGAGTAACTATTTGTGGTTTAGGCACTGAAAATTAAATATGGCTGTTTTGACTGATGCACAACTTCAGTTAGTTGCTCTATAATGAATAAGGATAAGCTCCACTGTAACTGTATTCAGGAATCATAATGTGAAAAATATTTCTTTTTTAAAAAATTTAGTTATATAAAAAGTCTCAACTCATTGTACAAAAATCTTTGGTTATATATTTGAGGAATCACTTTTATTTTTAATAAAATTAATTTTTTAATTAAAAATAACAATATGACATTAGATTTCAAGGCTGAATTATCTGTTTCTACATCTAAAATGAATACCATGTTACTAATGATGACTGCAATATATACTCTATGTGCATGTAAATATACATATTTGTACTTTAGAGGATGCGTATCAATCAGGGTGAGAAATCAGTTAGAAGGAAGTGAGACACAGATTGGATTTAGTAAAAATGAAAGCTATATGGAACATAGGAAAAGGAAGAGAGAAGCCCAATGCTCACAGGTCAATTAGAGTGCCCATAGCCTGTAGTACATAGCATGGGTAAAGAGACAGACACTTCCAAGACTGTTTTGTCTGACTCTAAGGAGGGAGGTATCACAGTTAATTTTTTGTCCACTTGACTGAACTATGGTGACCAGATGTTTGGTAAAACACTAGTCTAGATGTTGCTGTAAAGGTATTTTTTAAATGTGTCATTAACATTTACAATCAGCTGACTTTCGGTAAACTGAATTCCTCTATTATTAGGTCTCATCTAATCAGGTGAAGTCTTCAAGAGCAAAGACTGAGATTTCCCAAAGGAAAAAGAATTCTGCCTCTGGACTGCAACACAGAAGTTCTCCCTGAGTTTTCCCCCTTCAAACTTAAGACTGCAACATCAATCCTTACCTGAATCTCCAGTCTGCTGGACTGCCCTGCAGATGTCAGACTTTTTGGACCCCACAATCACATGAGCCAATTCCTTAAAATAATCAACTTTCTCTCTCTCCACCAGGAGGTAGGGGGAATAATATAGCACAGGACAAGCTGATGGAGGTCTCTAAATGTAAACCTGACTGGGCCTGAAATAAAAGATGGGTACAGGCTCCCAAATGACAGTGAGCCCCAAACAGAAACAAGACAACTAGGACCTCATCAGGTATTGATTCCAGTTCCTACGTGAGAGGCTGAAGTGTGGCAGGAAGGCTTTTAGCCATCACTGTTGCCCAGGTAAAGGAAATTTCCCCCATTGTGTTTTGAGGAGAACTGCTACATACCAGGTAAGGGAGGTTATATCTATAACTGATGGATTTATTTTCTACAAGTTATATAATAAAGTTAATGAAATGCCTGTAATTAGGAATTAATCCTGGGAAACAGGAACTTACTGCTACAAAAATAGAGAGCTGGGCTGTCCAATATGGCAGCCACTAGCCACATGTGGCTATTTAAATTTAAATTAATTTAAATAAAATAAAATTTAAATATTCCACTCCTTAGACACATGAGTCACATTTCAAGTGCCCACCAGCCACTTGTGGCTGATGTAGAATATTCCATCATCTCAGAAAGTTGTCTTGGGTAGCTCAGCTATAGAGCATAATAAATTACATAAAATGCTGAAAAATAGAGTTTTTGCCAGTGATTTCAGAGGCATATAATATAGTATAAAGTCCAAGACTCACATCCACATAGTCATATACCCTAGATCAGACCACTGCCCACTCTGGCCCTCCCTCATAACGCATGCACCACTGATAGGTGACAACATACACAGCACATGCAGGGAGCACACAGCACAGGCATGCCCTAGATGTCAAGAACAGACACAAAAATGCCATTCTGGGTTGCAGTTACATGTGAGTCTTTATAGTGAATATTTTATCAGACACACACAACCCTTCCCATCTTGTCACCTACACTCTTTTACAGCTTTCTGAAAAGGGAGGCTCAAAAATAACACAGGTTTGAGCTCACATCTGAAGTTGCCTTTAGTTTTGACATGATAACACTTAGCCGCAGGAATTGAAAGCTTTGCCAGGCATTGCTGGATGTTTACCTCCATTTAGGTGCCACGAGGAAAGATCATGTAAACTTCCTGCTGTTTCTCTTTTAGCAACAGAGAGTTCTTAGAATCCGCGCTGGGACAAAGAATTTGAAGACTTAAAGCTTTGGACCTGGCTCTGTTACTCGGTAGTTATATTATTGGTCAAACTAGTTGATTTATATTAGCTTCAGCTTCTTCATCTATAAAATGGAGATACTTATATTCATTTATTCATTCTGTAACTACTTACTGAATACCAATTGTATGCTGGGCACTAGCTTCTGGGCAAACAGCAATGAGTCACACAGGCACTATCCCTTCCTTCTTGCATTTAATGTGCATTGGTTTTACTCAAGGGATAACTGAGGTACTCTGAAGAGTTTGTTCTACCCTTCTCAAACTGTTTATACTCAGTTTGAGGAACCACAGCTTGTCCTAAGATCCCTGGCAGGGCTGAGTTGAGGGGAAGAGGTATTTGTTTATTCTCCTCTGCTATTAGGGGTGATAAGAGGGGAGCTTGAGAAATACTGTAAGAACTCAGCAAATTGTAACCTAAAAAAAAATGAAAGAAAGAGGTGGGACCCAGCATTCTAGTAGAAGCAGAGAACAGATTCATCCTTTGGTAGATCTGTTCAGGACAGGGATTTCTGATCAAAGGAGTTCCATTTGCCTGCATTATCTGTGTTAATGGACTCAGTTCTTTCACTGAGACTGTGCCTATAATTTCACCATTCAGGGAACATAAAGTGCATGGGAGTTAGGAATTGGTAAAGTGCATGGGAGTTAGGAATTACTGAGAGAGGTCAGTAAAGCCACATCCCCCACAGATCTTTAGCTGGCTTTTAGTGCTCCCTGAAACCCAACCTACCAGGACACTCCAATCCAGCGTCAAAACTTTAAATCACAGATATACATGGGAAGTGAACAAGGAAGGGTCTGCCTGTGAGGAACAACTCAATGGTCTCTCCAAGAACAGTCAAGTGGTCAGTACGGTGGGGCCAGAGCTGGACTTAAGAAGACCTGGAACTGTGTCTCAGCACTGTCAGCACACTTGCTCCAAGTTTCATTCCTACTTTCATCTTTTGGCATCATTCTTTTTTCTTATCTGGGGCTAATTTTTTCCATGTAGCAGAAAATATGGCCATTGCCACCTTCTGAGTTTTCCTGCTAATAGCTTAATCACTGGAGGTACAATGTCTAAACTTTCTGATTATCCAAAGCAATATATCCCAGGGAAGGGCTCTGATTGGCCCAGCTTATGTCAGATGTCCACTTCTGGGCCAACTGGCTTTGACTATGGTACATGATGGCTCCTTGGAAATCATCCAGTAGGATTGCAGGAACAAAGAATCTCTCAACAGAAGAATTTCAAGGCAGGCACAATAAATATTTAAATATCTATCACGTACATTCATCAACTAGTATGAAAATCTGAAATTTGCTCATGATTCACACATACTAAAATGAAGAAGGGGATATAAGGCAAATGTTATATAAGGCAACTGGTATTTATGCCAAACAAAACTACCCAAGTAAGTCCACATCTATTTTCATCAAAATGGTTTCAGTGTCTGTGTTCTAGTTTATTTGTCTGCATAGATACAGCATTCCTCTACTTTACAGAGGATATCTGTGCATATCTCCTTCAGGTCTGCTCAACATTGTTCATTAAGAGCACTTTTTGGAATCACCAAGCAACTCCCAACTATTCCACTACACAGAGTAGTTTGTCACAGTAGATGCATGTCCAGACCAGGAGGGCACAGTACAAAGATTCAACATGCTGGAGCAGTCAGGAGTCACCTCTGGCAGATTTTCCTTGCCCCAGAACATCCCAATGTCTCCCAGTGTATGCCCATCAGCAGAATTCAACATATGTGTGGTTGTCTGTGCTGAGAACAGGATTCTGGAGCAAAGAAGACCTTGGCTCATGAGAACTACCATCATTCAAATAGGACCACTTAGGAAGAGAATTGGCAGGAGAATCTGCCACCCCCGTCCAAGGTTGCAAGACACCCAGGCTTCCATTAAATACTGCTGCACATCTACAAGGATATGGATTAATCAAACATCAAAACATTATGTTAGCAAAGCATTTAAAGAGAGTTTTGTCACTGTCCTATGGGAGTCAAAGAATGTGTGCCAGTCTTCCCAGTCTGTTAGTTCTGTGGCTGCCAAAATCCATGATTGGTAACCATGAATTTAACCTTATCCACAGGTAAAATCTGTGCATACGGAAATGTTTTGGGAGAAGGATTCCTATGAGAAACAGGGCTAGCAAAAGTGAAAAAATGAAAAAGACTCAGAAGTTACTCAGGGAAGAGCAAATGTTCAGTGTGCTTTCACTGAAAATCTGCAGTTATAATTTACTGAGAGTTTATTGTATGCCCAACACTGTTTTAAAGGATGTTCATGGATTAACTCACTTAATCCTTATAATAACAATAACAATAAGTATTAATTTTTATCCCTATTTTCCAGATTAAAGAACTGAGGCACAGAGGTGTTGGACAACTTCTCCAAAGTCAGACAACTAGTAAAGGGCAAGTAGGATTCAAACCTAGGCAGCTGGCTCCAGAGTCTGTGTTACTACCTGTTACACTACTCAGTGCTGTATTCACAATATTCCTACACCATAAGCTGTACTGGGAAATACCAGGGCTAGATGGCAGAGTCTTGCATCTTTAGAGTATGAACTTTTAATTCTGAAGGTGATGAGATGCCATCATGACTTCTGAGCAAAGTGACATAATTAAGCCTGTCCTAAGGAAAATGAATCTGCCCACAGGATGTGGTATGGATTGAAGTTAGGGTTGGTAAGACAGTGAGGAGACAGGAGGCAAGGGGCATGGCTGGGGCCTGGAAGTCAGTGCAGAGCTCACGGGAAAGGTCAGAAGAGCCTACATTTCCTATGGGAAGGGATGTGAGAAGTCCATGGGAGACCAAAAGTAGAGGCAGCAGTCTGTGATATACCATGGCACACTGATTTGCCAAACAATTGAACCAAAGGGTGAAATAATAATCATGCTCAGATGACAGGCATGAACAGGGACTGTCTGAGCAAGCTGGGATATATGATCACCTGGTTCAACATGATCAGCAGCAAAGACCCAGAAAGCTGCTTTAAGAGGCACTCAGAGGACTGTTCCTTCTCCTCTTTCCTGTCCAGCACATGACCCACTGCTTCCATCACTCTCCTGCTATTAAATCCTTCGCTTTCTCTGTCTGACACCCCCTACAAATGTCGCATCCATCCAATCCACCTAGGATCACAAGAAAGAAGACTCAAGGTCTCCCATTGAGGCTGAGGCCACATGGCCATCCTGCAGTGGCTTGCTTCATCCCTGACCAGCTGTCTTGTGCTTCGCCAGCTTTCTTGTGTCTTTCTCCCTTCTCCTGGACCCCACCCTCTCCCCACTTTCCTACCATTCTCCAGAGATGACTTAAAGAAAAAATCAAGGTCAGAAGCTGAGAAGCCCATCCCCATGTCCTCTTCTGGCCCTCCACTCTTTGTCCCCATCATCAGTGGGATCTGGTTAAGTCAAAACCTAGGCCATGGGGCTCACGTTTTCTGCCACCCTGGAAGACCCAACTCTACTTAGGATCAGATCATTTCTCTTTTCTATATCCTTGGTCTGTCTGTCTCTCTCCCTCTCTCTCTCTCTCTCTCTCTCTCTCTCTTTCTCCCTCTCTCTTTCTCTCTCTCTCTTTCCTGGCTCCTTCCACTCAGCATACAACTAAATTCAAGCTATCTTAAAAAAAAAAAAAAAAAGAAAAAGAGGAAAGAATCCAACCAACAACAGAAGAAAGTAAGCCTTGGCCACCCACCTCTGCCCCACTGACTCTACCTCCACTCAATCTCTGGCTTCTGTACTGCCTCCCACAGGCAGCTCCCCACAGCCCTCCTGTGACCTCCATGAAGCCAAATCTCACAGGATCTTCAGCCCTCACTACCCCATCCTCTGTGGCACCCCATGCATTCTCTCCCCCTGGAGATGCTCTTCCCTGGCCTCACCACTACCCTCCTGCTCCTGGTTTTCTTCCTGCTGGTTTTCTCCCTGCCTGCTGGCCTACATACAGCCCTCACAGCAGCCAGGTTGGTCTCTGAAAGATGTGAGCCAGTTAAGGCTGCTTGTTTTAACTCTTCAATAGTGTCCCATTTAGAATAACATTCCCAAACTGAAGTTGGCCCACAGAGTCCAACAATACTTGCCCCTGAACTGGGCCTTGCCCACCTCTCAGGCCACATCCCAAACTCCTGACACCTTCACAAGCCTTTGTCTTATTTTTTTTTTTTTAACCAAAGTTTGTTCCCATCAGGGGGCCTCAGCACTTTGAAGATCCCTGTTTGGGGTGCTGTTCCCCCTTCCATCTCCCTACAACTGGTTTTCCTAGCTAGATGAGAGCTCTATGAGAACAGAAATTTTGTCAATTTTGCCTCCTACTTGGTCCTCAGCATCTAGAACTGTTCCTGGTAAACAGTAAGTACTTAGTGGGCATTTATTAAAGGAATGAATAGGTATGAGATTAAATTGGCAGTATCTGAGGTTACCGCCAAGTGGAAACATCTATGAGTCTACAATTTCAAGAAACAGCCATCTGGGGGGAATAATGTTTTGAAATTATATTCATCTGAGATGCAGAAAACTTGCACTTCATTTGCTACTCCTATCATCTTAACAGTGAAGAAAACTGAGGCCTAGAGACATTAACAGGGTTGCAGCTTCAGAGACATGTCTCAAGAAAGCATTGCTGTTAAAATGTGAGGTTCTTGGGTTTTCAGTCCACTTCTTAGGAAACCAAGTCAGTCTTCCCCTCAGGAGAAAGAAAGAGGCAGCAATAAGCAATTTGTTAACATCAGTGTTTCTTATCAGGTAAAAAATCCCTCATAATCAGGCATACCCACAGGCCTTCTTTCACAAAGGCACGAAGATGAGGCAATATAGGTCCCAAAAAACAAAACAAAGCAAAACAAAACAGCATTTTGGAGTTGCTGAGATTGACAACCCTTGTTTTATACTTTGGTAATACCAGTGAACTTGGAATTACAAGCCTGTCATTAAGAACTCAAAGGTTCATTAAGACTCCCAGGAACATTCTGGAAAACCAGCATTAGAGTCTCCATTGAAATCAAAGCTCAGCACAACAGTTAAATGAGTGAATCAATGAGTTTAAAGAATTTAACCAGGAGCAGACGTTTCTCTTCACACCACACTGCTTTAACATCCAGTATTCATGACTTTTTTACCCCCACCATTCCCTGATATACACAGGCTTCCAAAGCATTAATGAAATGCACTATAACAAAATGTTGACATGGTGCCATTGGGTATTGTCATCCTAGTTTTAACCCTTTGTTAAAAAAAAACTTTTCAATTCCCATGACTCCAGAGTAACAAAAATATAACAGGGTCCTAACGACATTTGAAACTCCCATGGTAAATGAGTACTTAGGAATGGTTTTCATTACCATGTGCTAAAAAAAATAAAATAATGTTTTATTGTTCTTTTGGAGCAATAAAACATTCTCTACCCTGGAGAACCATGGGATGGTTTTTTTTTTTTGGAAAATGGAAATGATTTGAGAGAGTTTCAGAGCACATGAAGATATGTGATCCCACTGAGTAACAAATAGGAGGTGGGGTTTTTTTGGAGCAGGAGGGAAGGAGCAGCTTTACATTAACAACTACTGAGAATTATAAATTTAAAGATTATCTTCAATGGCCAATAACTCTTATATTCAATACTGAACTTGTTTCCACTTCTTGCCTTCATTTTTATTTTTTACATATTCTCCAAGTTTTCTCCTAGCAGAAGAATGAACCAGAAATGAACATAAGCATGTCGGAATTCATGTATGTGGCAGACTTTATTTTCCAAAGATGGCCACAACAATATCTCTTGTTCCACATGGTCTGCTAGAACTTTGCCATTCCTCCATCAAGAGTTGGAACCCATGTCCCCTCTACTTGAACCACTATAGGTCTTTATGATGGCCTCAACCAATGAGTAGCTGAAAAAGACCATTATGTGACTTCCACAGGATAGTCATCAACATTCCATGAACTTTTCCCTTCTTCTCTTGTGATGTTTGCTCTTAGAACTCAGTTGCCATGTTTTGAGGAATAGCAGTCTGTGGAGAGGCCTACAGTAAACACCAACTTGCCAGCCATGTGAGTGTTTCATCTTGAAAGCAGATCCCCTAGCTACCACCAAACTACCAGTTGATACCATGAGAAATGGAGATTAGGTGCCTCTGCCAAGTCCTGCCCAAGTTGCAGATCTGTGAGCAAAATAAATAACTGTTATTGTTTTAAGCCAAAATGTTTTGGGGTGATTTTTTACACAGCAATAGACATCTTCTAAAATAAAGTAATCATCACTAATCTGTAACCATAGGAAATACCAGACTGCAATAATTTTGTAAAATGTAAAATCTATAATCCTTTATAAAAGATGCAGTTAGCAGCACTCTCAAATACACAGAAATGTAAACAAGGTTAACACAAAAACTCTCAAGAAGTGAGCCTTCAGAGATCTGCTTTAATTAAGTCGTAAAACAATTTGTAATTAGCCTCTCAGTTTGTGATGGTTCATACAAACTGCTGGAACAAGCAGGTACCCTTGAGGTAAATAAACAGTGCCCCTGCAGAATGGCTTACATTATTAATTGGCTTAGCAAACCTGTAGGCAAACTTAGGCTTAATTATTGTTTATCACGAGTTACAAATGTGCAGAGCATAAATTAATAATGATGCTTTACTATTCAAAAGTGACACAGAAAGATGTCCACATTCCCAGGCACTATCAGAGTCAGAAAGGGTCACAGAGACTCCTGTGCTTTTAACTTAAAATACACACACACACACACACACACACACACACACATATATATATGAAACAATTTTGGAAACGAAATGATGAATAGTTCCATCAAAAATCTAACTTTATTTCCACTAGGAATATATTTAAACATTTTCTTTTAAAGTTTTTCCATCTCTTCAGGTGTTTTCCATCTGACTTCTATTCCCTGTATCCTCCATGTGACAACCTTTTTCTTTCTGAAGACTCTTTCTTTCTAAAAGCTCCTTTGACTGCTGTTGCACAATAACATCCCTACTGTCCCACCAATATCACCACTATCACACTTAACAAGACCATCACTAGTACCCCAATGAATAACGCCTCTATCTCCCTCATCCCTAACATCCACACTACCCAACTCCCCCCAGCTACCTTTTCAAAATTAGGAATGCTACCATCAGGCTAACAGAATGAAGATCCAGATTGGAAAGTAATGATTTAGACGGGAAACCTCAGTTTATACTATTTTCTCATATTTCTTATGCTAAAATTATAATAATGAATTATTAAAATGCTTGAATCTTTTGTCCAACTTACATATCCTGGGTTATTTGTACAGAATACAGTACCACCCCTGTAATGGTAATGTGCCTTTTTTCTCATTCTTTTAAACAATAAGAAGTCAAAAGTCATCCAACAAATGAATCATTTAAAGTTTAGATTTTTATCACAACTTTTTTCCATGGAGTGAAAGAAGGCAATGTTTATTTTTAATCTTAAAAGGAAAACAAATGTTGTAAAAATAGTTGCCATTATTCTGAGCTCCCATTAAAGTTGTTAGTTAAATGGGAGGACAAGAATAGTTACCAATCAATCAACAAACATTGCCATATTGGATGAAGAACAGAGGGAATACTAAGAGACATGCCCAGTTAAATTCACAAAATGATGGTATATGGCACCAAAACTCAGCACACCATTAACGTAAACCTGAATTAATCAAATAAGTCTCTTTGACAATGAAAGGGAAGTCATTTAAAAGCTGAACTGACCATAAACTCACAGAATATCAGAGCTACAGGCAATCTTAGAGATTATCATTCTAGTGCAAAGGTTTTGTTTTATGGAAAAGAAAGTTAAGAATTTCAGAAAGAGAAACATCCCACCTAAATGGCTAAGTTATTAGGTAGTGGGTTTCTTTCACTGGAATCAGGAGAATACTCTGGAATTGGGTTTAAAATTCCATATTTCTTCTTGAGGAGGCAAGTCAGTTTCAGTAATTGAGTATCTAATGTCCAAGTGCTTTCTCCCATTCCTGCAGTGCCCTCTAGCCAACTTCAGCCCACTGACTCTGATCCTAGTGTAATCTGGTTCTTTGAGTGGGAATTCTCCCAAAGGCAGAAAAGGGAAAACCTTATGTGGGTTGTAATTCTGCACACTGATTCTCAACACCCTCAAAAAATATTCTACATCACCACAAGCAATAAAAATGAAACCTTCCAGTGTCAGGGAAAGATACAGCAGGCAGCTTAACTGCCTGACAAGATACATTCCATTTCTCAGATGAGACACCCACCCTCACATGCCACGAGGTTAGTTCAGATTCCCACACTCATTATCTGTGCTGGATCCCAGACAGGAGGCGTCAATGATGGGGGATATTCAGCACTTCTAAACACACAGATGGGAAAGTTCAACCTGTGCTATAAACCAATCAGCTGCCACATCTGTTTACTGATGGTGCCTAATTAACTTAAAACATGTTCCAGCTCATAAACCTTTACATATATTTAAGTATATATTACATACATACATAAAAGTTATATGTGCATATAAATATATGTACATGAATACATATATATGTATATGTATGCATCATACATAAAAATCTGGAAATTTTCCTTGTGATGACAGCAAATTCCATATTTGTAAATGTGTCTGCAGGGAGTATGAAGCATTAACAGTTGATATCCCACCCTCACAAGTCACTTCCATGGAAAGTTTTTCAACAAGTCTCAAACACCTAAAACACTGAAAAAAATCTACTTGGAGTTGCAAAAAAAGAAAATGTTAAGAGTCTCCTAGTCCTCTGTACTTCATCTTCATTGCATCACCATTCAAAGCATCTGTTCCCATATAATTCTGAGTCCCTGCAAGCCTTGGACACTCACAGGTTCTTGCTCTTTCATTCTATAAACATGCACTGAGCACATGCTAAATAACCCATTCTGAGCTCAGCATCAGAAAAAAAAAAAAAAAAAAAAAAAAAAAAAAAGGGTTGCAGCGCTGGGTGTGGTGGCTCATGCCTGTAATCCCATCACTTTGAGAGGCCAAAGTGGGTGGATCACTAGGTCAGGAGATCCAGACCATCCTGGCCAACACGGTGAAACCCAGTCTCTACTAAAAATACAATAAATTAGCTGGACATGGGGGCAGGCACCTGTAGTCGCAGCTACTTGGGAGGCTGAGGCAGGAGAATGGTGTGAACCCAGGAGGTGGAGCTTGCAGTGAGCAGAGATCCTGCCACTGCACTCCAGCCTGGGCGACAGAGCAAGACTCTGTCTCAACAACAACAACAAAACAAAAGACAAGACAAGACAAGAAACATATACACAATAACTAAGTAAAACCAATAACGTGTCTTAAGAGATGAAAGAACTTTAGGTAAAAGAAAAATAGAGGATACTAAAGGGAATCCAAAATACCAAGGTAAGAAGTGGCAGGAGGCAAGTTGCTCTTTTAAAGATAGGTGGGAAGGTAGGTACACTGAAGTAACCTGGAATGAAGATTTGAAGGGGATGAAGGAGTCAGCCAAGCAGATATCTAGGGATAGATGCACCCATAGACATTATGTTCACTGCCAAGAGTGAGACCAATATTCAGTAACTACACCATGAAACTCCAGTGCACATAAGCTGGAAAGTGAAAAAGACCATTTATAAACAGTCATACACTATACAGCCTACATATAACCTGGTGATCTCCTGGATTTTAGCCCCTAAAATGTTATTTCTAAAAAATGAGGGAATTGCTCTAGACATGTATACACTTTCAAGATCTCTCACAATTTAAGGACTCTCTTGGTTACTTTATTTTAAATAACAAGATGCTTATTGGGGAAAAGATATTAATCAGAGGTAGTTTGGCACATTTGTTGAAGTAAGCTGATGGACTTCATTTTTTTAAGGAGTAAATTAAATCTAAGAACAATTTAAAATAATTCCTACAACATGGGAAACAATTTGAAGTGCTATAGTAGGCAATCTTCCTAATGATGGTTTTAAAAAAGCAATGCAGGGCCGGGCGTGGTGGCTCATACCTCTAATCCCAGCACTTTGGGAGCCTGGGATAGGAGGATCTTTGAGGCCAGGAAAGGCATTTGAGTCCAGTCTTGGTAACACAGCATGACTTCATCTCTATAAAAAAAATCTTTAGAAAATTACCTGGGTGTGGTGCTGCATGCTCGTAGTCCTAACTATTTGGGAGGTTGAGCGGGGAGAATGGCTTGAGGTCAGGGTTTGAGGCTATTGTGAGGTATGACTGCACCACTGCCTCCAGCTTGGGCAACACAGTGAGACCCTGTCCCTTAAAAAAAAAAGCAAGCAGGAATTCTACACACAAATGAACACAAAGGAACCACTGTGACATGAATGAATCTCACAGACACAGTGCTGAGCAAAAGATATCATTTATACAAACAGGCGAAACCACCCTTTGGTGTTAGAAGTTAGATAGAGGTTTCCTTTGGAAGGGGAATGGGGAATTGCAGGCGTGGCTACAGGAAGGGTTCAAGCTGTTGCTCCTGCTCTATTAATATTTGTTGACTTGAGTGTTAGCTACCCAGGTGTGTTCATTTTGTGCTAACTCACTGAGCAGTACACTTATGATTTATGCACTCTCCTGTATTGATGTTATCTTCAATAAAAAGAGCTGTTTTCTTTCTTTTTTTTTTTTCAGAGCAATGTGAAGTGTTTCCATTACGGAGATTTCTTATTGACATGAGCTGGACAAGAAAAAAAATAACTATCCTAATGTTATGTGAATGAGCACTTTTGACTCAGGACAGAGTTTCCACAGATGCATGATTTATGAACATTTGAAGTGCTGAATCCCAAACAATTTGGATGATAGTAAATAGAATGAGCTTGAAACTGTGTTAGATGGCCCCAAAAATCATGCTGGTGATGATAAAACCAACCAAGTGCAACAATGCGTGAAAAAAAAGTACAGAAATAAAATTATTCCATGAGATATAAACAAGGGAACAGCACCATTTCCAAGTTTATACAATTTATATAATTTAAAATATGCATGTGCAACTAAATTAATAATATTATAAGCAGAAATTAATTATTTCAAATATATTCCTAAAATGCTATATGCCAAAGCTGGCCTCAAACTTTTTAAGATTTTTTCATGGGAAAAATAGGAGATTGTCTTTTAGATCTTGGCAAACATGTCATATGTTGTTCTGTGCTCTGCATCCCCTTATAACTGAGAAGACTCAATCAAAAATGCTTTCTGTCAACTTAGAAAACATGAAAAACTGAAAATTGTTTAAGTGAATAAATTCTGCAAAAATATGCTGTCCAAGATAGTAGCCATTAGCCATATGTGGCTATCAAGCACTTAAAATATTGGAGTGCCTCAAAGCTGTTCCCTCGGTGAAGGATTAGCTCCAGGCCTCGCCGCCCAGGTCCTGCTGTTGGAAATTGCCTCATCCTGCCTGTGGGAGAAAGCCACACTCCCTGCTGTTGCCCAGGCAAGACATTTCTACAATGATTTTTTCCCAGAATTCAGATCATAGGGTAAATTCCACCTCTAGGATGTCCCTATACAGGTTGATTATTTGCAGCATTCCAGAGATGGCTCTATTTCTACAGAAAGCTGCATGAGTTATAAAAACACTTGTGTTCTCATGCTTATGCACAGGTGAACAAAAGCTAATCCCCGCCGCCACCAGTTTCTTAAATAATAATCTGAATTCTACCAGATTAGAAAGAGCCTCCCTCATCCTAGTAAAATTACCAGCAATTCTGTCCTCAGAGATCATCTGGCTCCCGGTCTATGGGCCTTAGATCCTTTATACATGAGCGACTGCTCCTAGAGGCCCCAGAGCCTGAACACTCAATACATCTTGAAGGGAGGGTGGCAGGAAAGAAACAAATCTCCATTAAAGGGACAACCCAATCACTTCGCTGTTCTACAAAATTCTTCTCAACAGCTTCCCGCTGCTTTTACAGCCCAGTCCCAGCTGTCTCTGGCCTCTTCTCCTGACCTTCACTCTCCCTCTGACGTTCTTTTGATTCCTGTCACTGCTTCCTGCCTCAGGCCCTCTTGTATGCTGTTCCCTGTTTAGAGGACTCCCCAAACTGCCCAAGCACAGCCACATCGCCAAAGACACCCATTCATCCTTCCCATCTCAGCTCCAGGTAACTTCCTGATCCCACACTAGGAAGGGAAGGGGACTGGCAGTAATGAAGATTCGCAGATAAGACATAGATAAGAGGAAGGTGGGATCTGGGAAGTCACACCACCTTGAGGGTTTGAAAGGAGTCCTGGCACGAGCCTGCAGGTCTCTCAGTTGTTAACCCCACTCCAGCTTGAAAAGACAGGACCCAGGCTCCTACATGCCTGGGGAACAGGGGCTAGCCACCTTGCTCTAGAGTCAGTTCTGGAGTGGGCCACTCCCCAGTGGGGCTGCCAAAGATTTAGGTCATGGCTCCTGCATGGCCTCTCGAGTGTGGCTGATTTGCCCTAAACCAGCTCCCCGACCATTCACTCAGGTGGCCACCATGCCCGGCCAGTGATCACCTTCTTAATGAACTCTGGTAAGAGCTTCTGGTCTGTCAGGTGGTCTAAGGAGGAACAGCAATCTAATTCCAAGATGTAGCCTTCATTGTGAAGATCTGTTTTCTGAGACATGAAGTGAAAGAAAAGCATGCACACACACAGATTAATATTTTGCATAAATTTGAGACCGAGTCTCGCTCTTGTCACCCAGGCTGGAGTGCAATGACGTGATCTCAACTCACTGCAACCTCCGCCTCCTGGGTTCAAGCAATTCTCCTGCCTCAGCCTCCCGAAGAACTGGGATTACAGGTGCCCGCTACCATGCCTGGCTAACTTTGTATTTTTAGTAGAGACAGGGTTTCACCACATTGGACAGGCTGGTCCTTAACTCCTGACCTCAGGTGATCTGCCTGCCTTGGCCTCCTAAAGTGCTGGGGTTATAGGTGTCAGGCACCGTGACAAGTTGGATATTTTTTTTTTCAAAGAATCACTGGGTCTTTAATGAAGACCCAAATTCTTTCCTGAAAGTAATGTCAAAAAGGCACTGAAGAAAAAGTGTTTCTAGAAACAACTCAAGTAATATATACAGATATGCATCATAGAAAGATCTCCAAGATGTAGCATCATGTATAACATATCATTATAGAATGATGGGTTTGGTACTATATAGCTTATATGTTATCCTCTCTCTCTCTCTCTCTCTCTCTTTCTCTCTCTCTCTCTCTCTCTCTCTGTCTCTCCAGTAATGCCTATTTCCCATTGGTTTATATCTGCCAGGCCACACAAAAAGAAATAGCAAGACATATATCAAACCAATAATAGCAGGTACCCCTGGGGAACAGGGAGGGCTTATGTGGGAACGGGGGCTGGGTGGTGACGGTAGGTGTGTGGGGTGGTGATCGAAAGTGACTTTAGTTATAATCTCTTTCTTTTCATTTTTAAATGAAAATGACATATTTGTATATCACTTAGAAAATTAAAAAATAATTTTTAAAAGACTTTAAAAGGATTCAACCCGTTCAGAGGGCAATCTGGCAAAATCTATCAAAATTAAAGATGCATTAAATAAACACTACCAAGCAACTAAAAGAAATTCTGGGAAAACAGTGTAGGTGTAAAGGGCTGTTTGAGGTGAAGGCCTGTGATCCTGCTGTCAACAGAGAGACTTCTCAGCACACCCTGCCATCTCTGCACAAAGGGGCTGCTTTCCAAAGCAACACCACATAGACATCCCTGTGATATAGCACAGTTCAAAACTGTGCGCATTCAGGAGAGCCAGCAGCAGGTGGTCACCAAGAGGAAATTCCAGCACTTCACAGCCATTCACAGGCAGGGCTCCTGTATGACACTATAGTGGAAGGCGTGTGGTTGTCACAAATTGAAGGGGATTCCTTGGCCCAGACAGGTATAAGGCAACAAGACTGGTACTGCAGCTAAAGGCTGGTTGAATGCACCGTCTCTCCTGGGTTGCTGGTGGTTACTGGGGAGTGGGAATTAGAGACAAAGACTCCGGGCTTCTTATCCACGGCTCATCTACACAGCTAATCTGCCCTGGTGGAGGAGGGAGCAGAGCCCTCCTGGACCACTTATGAGGCTGCTCTACCAAAGAGGCACCCCTGCAGCCCCTGTGAGAGCAGGACTGTCCAGAAAATCTGTAAAGCAGGCACTTCCACACTGAACTCCTGAGATACATGCATCTCACCAGTTTCTAATTGTTTATTTGCTACAACATTTTTCAATGAACTTCTAAGATTCTCATACAGCTTTTAAATGAACTTCTAAGATTCTCCTATAGCATTAAAAGCAATTTAAGATACCATTAACAATTTGTGTATGATTTACCTTAAATTTAAAAGTGAAAAAAATTACAGAGGATTTGATTTTCCCCAGGTGTGCACCTGTGATTTGGTAAGCAAACTTCAATAGCTTGTTTTTGTTTTTTCTTCTAACATACCCTCTGAACAGTTGGGTACTATGGTGCACACATTCAAAATGTAAAAGAATAAACTGATTTCAACTGGTACAAACTAATCCAAAAGAATAAATCAATTCTGAACCCTAAACTTTTTGCGTTAATACTTTATTAGGGACTAGACTCATGTTCTCATCTCCTCCCCAAACAAAAGACATATTAAGAGGAACTAAGGCAGGTGATTCCAGACTTTTGAAAAAGAAGACTTGGTCAAGACACACTGTCATAAGTATCATGCGAGGTCTCAAACAACAAAAAACAGGATGAGGGAGGGGGGTTCTGAAATCTAAAATCTGGCTGCTCTGTTACATGGAAACTAATGTCAGAGGTTATTTAGAGGTTATATAGATATGAGATCAGTTAGAAATATCCATTGAGATTTCAAACGAATAGGCTAAAAAACTGTAATCATTTTAAATAAGTTAATGCTGTATCAATTAAGTACAACATTCACAGGATGAACAAAAGGGAGACAAGTCTGTCTGTAAGCAACTCGCAGCCCAGATCAATTCTAGGGAATAATATTTAGCACAGAATCTAATAAGTACCATCTTTGGTTCTGGAACAAGAAGTTCTATAACAAGAAAGGAAGCTCTGGTTCATTTCATCAAATAATTAACTCAGTAACATCTGAACAGAAATGAGCACAAACAATGAAGAAAAATAGGCATTACAATTTTTTTAGATGAACCATGGAAAATTACATCTCAGCCTATGGTTTCCTGGAAAAGAAAATCTAATCCATATTGGAGGAATAAGTGAGCAAGTAATAGACATTCTCCTGTCTTTGGGAATTAGCTCCTCATTTGCAATGAAAGGATTATAACACTGAAGAATGACTGAAAGGGAGACGAAGAGGCAAGGATCCCTAAACACCTTGAGGACAGATGCTGGCTGCCAAGCCATGAAGTCAGCACTCTGTGATGGTGCAGCTGTGGCCTCATAGAAGAAGAGCTGAAGGCAGAAGGAGCAGTCAAAGAGAAACTCTCTCCTTATCACTAACCCTATGAAAAACAGCATTAAATCCACCAGTAAACACAAATGGGGCTGCCAGAGGGAGATTCTGGAATTCCCAGCATGGGAGGTTGGGGGTGAGGTGGTGTTGGGGGGACCATGGTTGCTGTGGCAAACACACCCTGAGATGGCCCCCTCCCAACAATCCCTACCTCCTGGTGTTCACACTTTTGTGCAATCTAGCCCCTTGAGTGGGGGCAGGGCCTGTGACTTGAACCTACTCAATAAAACATGCTAAAGGTGATGGATGTTGCTCCTGGGATGGCATTATGTTATATGACTCCCTCTGAGCTGGAGATGCCTTTACTGGTTTTGAAGAAGAAAGCTGTCAGGAAGAAAGAGAGAGCCATATGGCAAGGAACTCTGGGTAGCCCCTGGCCAACAGCTGCAAGAAAACAGAGATTCCAGTCCCACAACTACAAGGAGATGAATCCTGCCAACAAACTGAAGGAGGCTGGAAGTGGGGCTTTCCTCAGTTGAGCCTCTGAGGAGACTGCAACCCAAGTCAACAGTGATACTACCTGATAAATCCTGAAGCAAAGAACCCCGATGAGCTACAGAAACTGTATGATAATGAATATGTATTTTTTTATTATACTTTAAGTTTTAGGGTAGATGTGCACAACGTTCAGGTTAGTTACATAATGTAGACATGTGCCATGTTGATGTGCTGCACCCATCAACTCGTCATTTAACATCAGGTATATCTCCTAATGCTATCCCTCCCCTCTTCCCTTACCCCACAACAGGCCCCGGTATGTGATGTTCCCCTTCCATACGTATTGTTTTGAACCATGAAATGTGTTATAATTTATTACAGAGCATAGAAAATTAATACCTGTTATGGGAAGTCAGGGACCCTGAACGGAGGGACTGGCTGGAGTTGTGGCAGAGGAACATAAATTGTGAATATTTCATTTTAATATGGACATTTATCAGTTCTCAAATAATACTTTTATAATTTCTGATGCCTGTCTTTAATATCTTAATCCTGTTATCTTCGTAAGCTGAGGATGTACATCACCTCAGAACCACTGTGGTAATTGTGTTAACTGTAGAAATTGATTGTAAAATATGTGGGTCTGAACTACATGAAATCAGTGCACCTTGAAAAAGAACAGAATAATAGCGATTTTTATGGAACAAGGGAAGACAACCATAAGGTCTGACAGCCTCAGGGTCGGGCAAAAAGAGCCATATTTTTCTTCTTGCAGAGGGCCTATAAATGGACGTGCAAGTAGGAAACATATTGCTAAATTCTTTTCCTAGCAAGGAATATTACTATTAATACCCTGGGAAAACAATGCATCCCTTGGGGGAGGTCTATGAAGGGCCTCTCTGGGAATGTCTGTCTTGTGTGGTTGAGATAAGGACTGAGATAATCACTGGTCTCCTGCAGAACCCTCAGGCTTACTAGGGTTGGGAAAACTCAGCCCTAGTAAATTTGTTGTCAGACTGGTTCTCTGCTCTTGAACCCTGTTTTCTGTTGTTTCAGATGTTTATCAAGACAATAGGCGCACTACTGAACATAGACCCTCATCAGCGGTTTTGCTTTTGCCCTTTGCCCTGTTTCCTCAGAAGCATGTGATCTTTGTTAGACCCTTATCAGTGGTTCTGCTTTTTGCACTTTGAAGCATGTGATCTTTGTACCTACTCTCTGTTCTTACAACCCCTCCCCTTTTGAAACCCTTAAAAACTTTCTGGTCTGAGACTCAGGCAGGCATCATGGTCCTCCTGATATGTGATGTCAACCCTGGAAGCCCAGCTGTAAAAGTCCTCTCTTTGTAGTGTCTCTCTTTATTTCTCAGCCAGCTAACACTTATGGAAAATAGAAAGAACCTACGTTGAAATGTTAGGGGTGGGTTCTCCCAATAAATACCAAAAAGAAAAAAGAAAACTAATACAGTCCCTGAGGAGGAAAACATGGCAGGTTCATTCTCAGAACAGGCCACCCACTGTTGGCCAGGCCTAGGCCCAAACCCACAAAATCCAGCCAGACATCTGACAGCAGCTTCCCTCAAGTGAGGAATGTTCTGTGTCACTGAGGGCAGGGACCATCCTGCGAGACAGAAGTGGACATGACCTAGAATTGACCTCCAGGGGCCATGGCCTGCTTGTCCGAGATACCACAGGACAAAGGAATAAGTATTCCGCTCTCAATCTAGTTTCTATGGAAGATGCATTAACCTGAAACTCCCAGCTGAGCAGGCATTGCCACCTTCCTGTGTGGGATGGGAAATACTAGGTATGCTCCCCAAAGGGCCATATCATTTTATCATCCTGGAAAAGAATATGGGAAACCACCAAACTTCTCCTGGACAGAAGGCCAAATGGCTTCCAATTTTGGAAGATCTGGGTTTAAATAATAGGGAAAAGAAACCATAGAATGCATTTCTGGAGACACACATAGGGTTAACTAACAGCAAAAGCCTCCCAACCTACTTTATCTGGAAATTAACATTAAGCACTATCCAGTTAAATAAAGGCACTCTGAGAAGAGCCTGGCTAATCATAAAATATGCTTCCGCATCACACTCCATCGCCAACATGGTAAATTCCAATAAATTTATTAGTTAGAGGCTACAGGTGTTAGAGCTAACTACACCATACACCAAAAATCAGCTGTGAACCTTTGGACAATTTACTTAAACTTTCTGTTCTTCAGTTTATTTCACTATTGAATGGGATATTACATGGAGCTATCTCTGAACATTGCTATCTCTTAACATTGCTGTAAGGATTAAATGGGACAAAAAGATGCAAAGCCCCCAGCTCAGAAGCACAACATGAGGCTCAACAAATCCTACCTGCAGCTGATCTATTACTATCATCTAAAATTCTGTTCTTACTTTTCCTTTCTAGCACTTTTCACCATTCATAATTACTCATAGATTCATTAAATATATACCACACTACTATGTATCAGGTACTATAATTTAGCATTCATCAATAGACAGAAGTGACAAAATCTCTGCCTTTGCAGAGCTAATAATCTAACAGGAGGAAAAAGACAACAAACAATACACATGCATGAGCACCTAACGTGGAATTATGCCCAACCGTGGAAAGTTAAAAAAAAAAAAAAGAAAATAAGAGAAAGAAAAAGAAAAGAAAAGAAAAGAAAAGGTCTGGGCATGGTAGCTCACACCTATAATCCTAGCACTTTGGGAGGCTGAGGTGGGAGGATCACCTGAAGTCAGGGGTTCAAAACCAGCCTGGCCAACATGGACAAAACCCATCTCTACTAATAATACAAAAATTAGCACACATGGCGGTGCATGCCTGTAATTCCAGCTACTTGGGAGGCTGAGATAGGAGAATCACTTGAACCCAGAAGGCGGAGGTTGCAGTGAGCTGAGATCATGCCACAGTACTCCAGCCTGGAGGACAAAGTGAGACTTTGTCTAAAAAAAAAAAGAAAAAAGAAAAAAAAGAAACAGAGCAGGGTAAGGAGAATGGCAGGGGCTGCAGGGAGACAGTTGTAGATCTAATAAGGGTGGTCAGGATAGCAGCACTGAGGAGATGAAATTTAGAATAAAGATTTCCAGGAGGTAAGGGACTGGGACACGGTAATATCCAGGGCATGAGCTCTCTATGCAGAGGGAACAACAGTTCATGCAAAGGCCCTAAGCTGAGGTCATGAAAAGAAGCCCTGTTGCTGGGGCCCAGTGCAGAAGGGCGCAGGAAGGAAAACACAGTTGGAGAGCCTAAGGGGAGCTGGATAGTATAGACCTTCAGGCCACAGTGAAGACAATGGCTTTTATTCAGAATGACAGAGGAAGTCTGCGTAGGGTGTGGGACAGAGAAATGTCATGATCTCCTGAGTGTTAAAAAGGATCCTTCTGGCTATAGGGGGAAGCCGGGACCCCATCTAAGTGGTCCAGGCAGGAGATGATGTAGCTCAGAGTGGGTTGGCAAAAGTGTCCTAGAAGCAGTGAGAAGTGCTGGGTTCCAGTTACATTTTCAGGGTGAAACCTTCAAAATTTGCAAACAAACAGGTTGCGTGGTGTGGAAGGAGGAAAGAGGATGAAGATGACTCCAGGATCCTGTCCCTAGCAACTGAGAGAATCGGTGACTTTGCCAGAACTATGATGGGGAAGGGTTGGGTGGCACAGGCCTAGGGGGGAAGAAAGATAATTCAAATTTCAGATATGTTGAATATGACATATCCAGAAGATATCCAAGTTGAGATGTCTGGTAGATATTTGAATATCTATATATATACATACACACACATACACACAAACATGCACATGCATACATACTTGAATATATGTACTGAAGTCTGGACTGCAGGAGAGGCAGCTGGAGATATAAATTTGGGAGTCATGGAGTCATCAGCCCCAGGTATTACTTAAAGCATGAGGCTACATGAGATCTCCATTAATGTAGAGAGAGAAGAGTTAAGAATTTAATTCTGGGACCCTCCACCATGAAGAGGGTAGGGAGAAAAGCGGATAAATCACCCAAAAGATAAGAAAGAATAACCAGGGAAGAAGGAAGAAAACCAAGAGAACTTGTTTGTTTTCCCAGAAGTCAAATCAAGGGAGTAAGACAAGGAGAAGGGTATGAGACACCCTGTCAATTTCTTCAGTTAAGAAACTTATAATCTTCTCTGGAATTTACTTATCTTCTTGAAATCACAAGAGGGAAACTGGATTTAATCCACCCTATGCAAATAGGTGTGAAGAAATCTGTCAATCTGTTTATGTGATTATCTGGCAGATAATCATCTAAATTTGGCAAACTGTCAAATTTAAATGTTGATTTGGAATCAGAATTGCTTGGCTCCTTGAAAAACAAAAAACAACAACAACAAAAAACACATCATTTGCTGCCGAGTCATTTTTCAGAAACAGTCTTGGAAAAAATTAACTAAAAAGAGCTCTGACACATCTCATATCTTGGGACTCCCACTTATATAGGGCACTGGAGAGTTGAGAGGCTCTACTTCACCATTCCAAAGGAATTTTCTAAAAGAAGTGATAATAAAAGGATACTACTGGCAGATGTGATTTCCTGGAAATCAAGAATGAACAGGACAAAATGAACTCAAATCCTTGGAGTATAGCAAAATAGTTTGAACAATGCACATAAACAGTGGTTCTGACTGTTGGAGGCAATGGAGAAGCAACGAAGACATCCAAACCCTGTTAAAAAGCCACGGCAACATGACAACTAAATGCAGTTTAGTACCCTGGATTGGATCCTGGAACTGAGAAATGACATTCATAGAAAAATGGTAAAATCCAAATAAAATCTACAGTTTAATTAATAGTGAAGTACCACTGTCAATTTCTTAGTTTGACAAATATAGTATGGCAGTGTAAGATACTAATTGTAGTGGGAAACTAGGTGAAACACATATGAGAGTTCTCTGGAATACCTTTGCAACTTTTCTGTGAAATCTCAAGTTATTCCTAGGCAGGGTACATTGTATCTGCCACTCCCCTAGAGATTATCTTTGGGTGATAACTGAACAAGTCCATGGAAAAGGGAAAAATAGAAAGAATGACTTACATAGATGAGTAATATAAACTCTTGTATTCTAAGAGGAAAATGAACCTTAAAGGAAAAAAACCAGGGATAATGAAATAGAAGACTGGGGTCTGTGCCTTCTCTGGTCAGAAAAACACAAAACTTCTTCCAACTTCTTACTTTCCTCACTTTTTAATTTTTTTTATTATGGTAAAATATACATCACATAATATTAACCATTTTAATCATTTTTTAAGTCTACAATTCAGTGTCATTAAGTACATTCGCAATGTACTTAATAGCAGTCACCATCACTATCCATTACCAGAACTGTTTGTTTGTTTTTTTTTTTGAGATAGTGTCTTACTCTGTTGCCCAGGCTGGGGTGCAGTGGCATGATGAAGGGCTCACTGCAGTCTCAACTTCCTGGGCCCAAGCAATCCTCCCACCTTGGCCCCCGAAGTAGTCAGTACTACAGGAACATGTCACCATGCCTGGCTAATGTTTTTGGAATTTTTGTAAAGATGAATTCTCCCTATCTTACCCAGGCTGCTCTCAAACTCCTGAGCTCAAGAAATCCTCCTGCCTCAGCCTCCCAATGTGCTGGGACGACAGGCATCAGCCACCTCAACTGGCCTCCAGAACTTCTTTGTCATTACAAACAGTCCTCATTTCTTTAACATCTTATATGTAGAACTTGAGACAAAGTTGAATATAGCAAGTAAAAAACCACACACACATTAAATAAGTGACATCATATGTCAAACATATGAAAGTAGATTTAAACACTGAGCACTTGTACACAAGCCTTTCCTATCTGCAAGGAAGGAGAGAGCAAAGAGCCCATGTGCCCATGTGCCAGAGAAATTCAAATGTCAACACAACTGGTCACAGATGTCAGTGTTGTTTCTAAACATGATAAAATACCACCTATTCTGTGTCGGGTTGACCTCATTACTCACACATAAACATCAACTGTAATGCAAACTGTGTGCAAACTCAGAGACACACTTGGAGATCTTCACTCACCACCACCCTAGTGTCTGCCAAGGGTTGTGTAGTTATTCTCCAAGCAGGGGAAGGGTTGGAGGGAAAAGCAAGGGCCTCAAACTCAAAGGCCTATGGGCAATCTATAAAAGATTCTTTTTAAAACCAAAGTACATAATCTAGACATTTTTTTCTCATATAAAAGATAGAGGAATGTCCACCAAGAAATATGTTCTCCTCTAATTTTCTTCAAATACAGAGTGCTGTCAGATTCCCTTTCACAGTCTCACTACTGAGAGCAATGTGGTTGCAGAGAGACTTGTCTCTGCCGTGAGAAAATCACGCAAGCAGATAATACATGGTGAGTGCTATGTTGCTACCATGCTGAGGACACAATGAGATACGTGGAAACCATGGTAAACTAGGCAGTTTATATCCCAAACATTACTAGAAATTCCAGGCCAGAGTTGCCAAATCTTACAATTTTTCAAAAGAAGCCTTTAAATTGTGTTTATATGTAGCTCATAACTGTCAGGTTTTTGCTCCAAACAATATTTTCTTCATGTTATGTGGGCCAACAGCTTTCAGATTGAACTTGACCTCTCAACCACCAGTCTGTGGTCTCTGAGTTACATACACAAGCTCCAATGTGAGTGACAGAAGGCTGAACACCAGGCCGTAAGTAACAGTGAACAGATTATCTAATTGTATCATGATCAAAATAATGAACCCATAAGCCCAATGCAATATGCATTCATTGTAATGACTCAGTAGATTGCTACCTTCGGAGGTCCTCACTACCCTTAAAGACGATGTCTGACCCGCACCATTTTTTTTCTTTTGAGACAGAATGTCACTCTGTTGCCCAGGCTGGAGTGCAACGGCATGATCTCAGCTGACTGCAGCCTTCCAGGCTCAAGCAATCCTCCCATCTCACCCTCCTGAGTAGCTGGGACTATAGGTGTGCACCACCACACCTGGCTAATATTTATATTTTTTGTAGAGATGGGGTTTTGACATGTTGCCCAGGCTGGTCTCAAATTCCCAGGCTCAAGTGATCCTCTAGCCTTGTCTTCCCAATGTTCTAGGATTACAGGTGTGAGCCACCATGCCCAGCCTTGTCTGACACATTTAAACAGCCCCTCACTCCACTGTCACAGTGGTGAGACTTAATCCTTTCCTAAAACATTAAAATAACATTTTTGTAACAAGTACTGCTAATGCTTATGAGTGCTTTAAGTATTGATAATTATCATTGGCAAAAGAGATAACCCTCAAGATATTGACAAGTGCCAAGCAGCAAGTTGGATATGTATTTTGGCCTCATGGGAAGATCTAAAATGAGGCCACCAAAAAACAACTGCCTGTCAGAAAACTTTCATAAAGTATACTTCTAAAAAGTAAATATGTGACTAAAAACTATCATATACATCACAGTTTAAATAATAAACACCTAATAAATCCCATTTCGGCTCATAAATCCCTGAGACACCTTCAAAGACCATGAGTTTAAACAATGTTTTCTTTTTCCCAGGACATTAGGGAGTTATGAAAAGGAAAGAGAATGTGCAGTTCATCAATAGGGTTATTTTTGCTTCATTTAGAAATAATCAAAAGAAATGGTGACAAACAAAAACAGATTACTAGGCACTTCTCCAACCAGGCAAAAAAATCCTACATGTCAGTTGACAGAAACAAATTCTCTATCTCTGGGAAACAGGAAGGAATTTTAAGATTTTTTTTTTCCCAAAGCAATACCAAGCTCGAATAGAATAATCAGAACAGCTATTTTTAAAAAAGTATTAGGGGGAGAAATTAGCAATAGATCTGAAAAAGATTTGTCAATGAAAGAAAAAGAAGGCTATGCCTAGTTTCATTAGCTTATGTATAACAATGACAATAAAGATCTCCCTTATTCATTCATCTGCGTGAATGCTGACCACATATGAGGGATTCAAGGTGCTGCCCTCAAGTCTAGATCCTGCCCTCAAGTCTTGACAGACTGTATATAAACAGAAGTGCTATAAGAATTCAATTGTTTCCAGTGTTAAGGATCAGGGGAAAATATAAGGAGCAAGGCACATGTGAGCTTAATCTTTGAGGCTATATGGAAGTTAGTCATGAGACAATGGATAAAAGGACATTTTAGGCATGAGAACAGAAATTACTGAAGATCTGGATTGAGAAATGCATGAGTTATATGATAGAAATAATAAATAGATCAGTTAGGCAAAAGGTGTGTGAAGATGCATGTTGCCTGTAACTCAGCAGGGGCTGTAATGATGAGCGTAGGGAATGTGTGGGTGAATCCACTGTTAGAATGAGTGTGTGCTTGTGGGCTCTGCAGTGACCAGGGCAGAATTGTGGGAAACACAGTTAGTGAGAAAGGATGGGAGTCGCCTTAACTGTGAAGAAAGAAGAGTCACAGGTGGCCTTAGAGTGAAAGATTCTGGGAAGCTTAAGCAGGCAGCATTGTGTATGATGTAGGAAGAAAGAAAGAATATTAGAACAGCAGGTGTGAGAACTGTGCTGAGATTTTTGTCTAATGGAGTGGGTGGGTAGAAGAGAGGTATTTCTTGTTCCTGCAATTGGTGGTAGTTGTGGGCAGGGTAATAACCTGCACCTCCCCAAAGATGGTCCCAGAACAATAGGGAAAGATTTCCCACAATTTTATGAACCCTCTTTGCAAAATGAACAAAATCTACACAAATACAATGAGACTGCGGGAGTTAAACGTTTCCCCTATAACGAAACTTAAGAAATACTTAAGGAGGTCCATCTCAAGATGGCCAAATAGGACAGCTCCAGTCTGCAGGTCCCAGTGTGATCAGTGCAGAAGATGGATGATTTCTGCATTTCCAACTCTGAGGTACCTGGTTCATATCACTGGGACTAGTTGGACAGTGGGTGCAGCCCCTGGAGGGTGAGTTGAAGCAGGGCAGGGAGTCACCTCGCCCAAAAAGCAATAGGGGATAGGGGATTTCCCTTTCCTAGACAAGGGAAGCCATAACAGACTGTACTTAGAAAAACAGGACACTCCTACCCAAATACTGCACTTTTTCCATGGTCTTAGCAAGAGGCAGACCAGGAGATTCTCTCCTGTGTCTGGCTTGGTGGTCCCACACACATGGAGCCATGCTCACTGCTAGGGCAGCAGTCTGAGATCTACCTGCGAGGCTGCAGCCTGGCAAGGGGAGGGGTGTCCACTATTCCTGAGGCTTGAGTAGGTAAACAAAGCAGCAGGGAAGCTTGAACTGGGTGGAGCCCATAGCAAATCAGCAAGGCATACTGCCTCTATAGACCCCACATCTGTAGGCAGGGCATAGCTGAACAAAAGGCAGCAGAAACTTCTGCAGACTTAAATGTCCCTGTCTGCTAGCTCTGAAGAGGGCAGTGGTTCTCCCAGCAGGGCGTTTGAACTCTGAGAATGGACAGACTGCCTCCTTAACTGGGACCCTAACCCCCATCTAGCCTGACTGGGAGACACCTCCCAGTAGGGGCCAACAGACATCTCGTACAGGCAAGTTCCCCTCTGGGACAAAGCTTTCAGAAGAAAGAACAGGCGGCAATATTTGCTGTTCTGCAATATTTGCTGTTCTGCAGCCTCTGCTGGTGATACCCAAGCTAACAGCATTTGGAGAGGACCTCCAGCAAACTCCAACTGACCAGCAGCTGAGAGGCCTCACTGCTAAAAGGAAAACTAACAAACAGAAAGGAATAACTTCAACAACAAAAATGACATCCACACAAAAACCCCATCTGTAGGTCACCAACATCAAAGACCAAAGCTAGATAAAACCACAAAGATGGGGAGAATCCAGAGTAGAAAAGCCGAAAATTCTAAAAATCAAAGTGCCTCATCTCCTCCAAATGATCGCAGCTCCTCACCAGCAATGGAACAATGCTGGATGGAGAAGGACTTTGACAAGTTGATAGAAGTAGGCTTCAGAAGGTCAGTAATAACAAGCTTCTCCGAGTGAAAGGAGCATGTTCTAACCCATTGCAAGGAGCTAAAAACCTTAAAAAAGGTGAGATGAATGGTTAACTAGAATAAACAGTGTAGAGAAGACCTTAAATAACCTGATGGAGCTGAAAAGCATTTCACAAGAACTTCACGACACATGCACAAGCTTCAATATCCGATTCGATCAAGTGGAAGAAAGGATATCAGCAGCACAACAAAAAGCTTATCCACCACAATCAAGTTGGCTGGGATGCAAAGCTGGCTCAACATAAACAAATCAATAAACATAATCCATCACAAAAACAGAACCAATGATAGAAAACACATGATTATCTCAATAGATTCAGAAAAGGGTTTCAAAAAACTCAATAGCCCTTCATGTTCAAAACTCTCAATAAACTAGGTATTGATGGAACATATCTCAAAATATTAAGAGTTATTTATGACAAACCCACAGCCAAAATCATACTGAATGGCCAAAAATTGGAAGCATTCCCTTTGAAAACCAGCACAAGCCAATGATGCCCTCTGTCACCACTCCTATGCATCATAGTGTTGGAAGTTCTAGCCAGGAAAACCAAGCAAGAGAAAGAAATAAAGGGCATTCAATTAGGAAAAGAGGAAGTCGAATTGTCCCTGTTGCAGATGACATGATAGTATATTTAGAAAACCCCATTGTTTCAGCCCCAAATGTCCTTAAGCTGATAAGCAACTTCAGCAAAATCTCAGGATACAAAATCAATGTTCAAAAATCATAAGCATTCCTACAAACCAATAACAGACAAACAGAGCCAAATCATCAGTGAACTCCCACTCACAATTGCTATAAAGAGAATAAAATACCTAGGAATCCAACTTACAAGGGATGTGAAGGACCTCTTCAAGGAGAACTACAAACCACTGTTCAATGAAATAAAAGAGGATACAAACAAATGGAAAAACATTCCATGCTCATGGGTAGGAAGAATCAATATTGTGAAAATGGCCATACTGCCCAAGGTAATTTATAGATTCAATGCCATCCCCATCAAGCTATCAATGACTTTCTTCACAGAATTGGAAAAAAAACTACTATGAAGTTCATATAGAACCAAAAAGTGCCTGCCTAGGCAAGACAATCCTAAGAAAAAAGAACAAGGCTGGAGGCATCATGCTATCCGGCCTCAAACTGTATTACAAGGCTACAGTAACCAAAACAGCATGATACTTATACCAAAACAGATATATAGACCAATGAAACAGAACAGAGTCCTTAGAAATAACATGACACATCTACAACCATCTTATCTTTGACAAACCTCATGAAACAAGAAATGGTGAAATGGTTCCCTATTCAATAAATGGTGCTGGGAAAACTGGCTAGCCATATGTAGAAAGCTGAAACTGGATCTCTTTCTTACGCCTTATACAAAAATTAATTCAAGATGGATTAAAGACTTAAATGTTAGACCTAAAACGATAAAAACCCTAAAGGAAACGTAGGCAATATCATTCGGGACATAGGCATGGGCAAAGGGTTCATGACTAAAACACCAAAAGCAATGGCAACAAAAGCCAAAATTGACAAATGGGATCTAATTAAACTAAAGAGCATCTGCATAGCAAAAGAAACTACCATCTGAGAGAACAGGCAACCTACAGAATGGGAGAAAAGTTTTGCAATCTACCTATCTGATAAAGGGCTAATATCCAGAATCTACAAAGAACTTATACATATTTACAAGAAAAAAACAAGTGGGCAAAGGATATGAACAGACACTTCTGAAAAGAAGACATTTACACAGCCAACAGACACATGAAAAAATGCTCATCATTGCTGGCCATCAGAGAAATGCAAATCAAAACCCCAGTGAGATACAATTTCATGCCAGTTAGAATAGGGATCAGTAAAAACTCAGGAAACAACAGATGCTGGAGAGGATGTGGAGTAACAGGAATGCTTTTATACAGTTGGTGGGAGTGTAAACTAGTTCAACCATTGTGGAAGACAGCGTGGCGATTCCTCAGGGATCTAGAACTAGAAATACCATTTGACCCAGCCATCCCATTACTGGGTATATACCCAAAGGACTATAAATCATGCCACAATAAAGACACATGCACACGTATGTTTATTGTGGCACTATTCACAATAGCAAAGACTTGGAACCAACCCAAATGTCCATCAATGATAGACTGGATTAAGAAGATGTGGCACATATACACCATGGAATACTATGCAGTCATAAAAAATGATGAGTTCATGTCTTTGCAGGGACATAGATGAAGCTGGAAACCATCATTCTCAGAAAACTATCACAAGGACATAAAACCAAACACTGCATGTTCTCACTCATAGGTGGGAATTGAACAATGAGAACTCTGGGACACAGAGCAGGGAACATCACATACCAGGGCCTGTCAAGGTGTGAGGGCTGGGGAGGGATAGCATTAGGAGAAATACCTAATGTAAATGATGAGGTGATGTGTGTAGCAAACCAACATGGCACATGTGTACCTGTGTAACAAACCTGCAGGTGGTGCATCTGTACCCTAGAACTTAAAGTATAATAAATAAATAAATATTAAATTTCTTGATCTCAAAAAAAGAAAGAAATACTTAAGGAAAAATAGGCAAGTATGCAAATCCTAGTGAGTCTTTAAATGAATTTCAAGCACCTCACTATAGGGTCCTCCAAGGGAGTTGTAAATTAGGAAGCACAAAAAGGAGAAGAATTTACACACTGCTGATTCATTGTCCTTTCTTCTGATGTTCCCTTCCCCTTCCACCAGAAAACACTCAGCACTTCTGTGGAAAAGGTTTGGTATCTCTGAGAACATTCTGAACATGTCAGGGGAGATGTGCAAATGATAACCCCATCACACACTCCCTCAGGGAGCTGTACATGCCTACTGGGGACATGTTACCAGGGACATCACTATCTGATCCTACTATTTATTCTAGAGAAATCATCCTGGCTCCCTGCTTATGGTCAGGGCCAGCTCTCTGGGAGACAAACCACCTGCCACTGTGCACTACAAGGAGTGCACTGTTAACCTTAAAGGCCAAGGGGAAAACAGGCAAACTTTGCCTCAGTGCTCCCTGTATATTGGAGCTGTGAAGGAATTTCAATCCCCAGAGAGCTGGGATACAGAAAAGAAGAGAGCAGCCACATGGAATGGGAGCTGCGTAAGGGTCCTGCTTTCTCTGGAATCGTGCAAGGCTCTCCTTTACATTGACAGATGTAGAAAGATCTAGTATTAGTAGTGATGCATAATTAATAATATTTTATTGCAAATATAACACTGAATAAAAGCAGTCTGCCTGATATTTACTGGTTCAGAAAAGTCACACATCTCCAAACAAAAATAGCAATAATAGCTACATAGGAATGGTCTTCATAAGACTCTCATGGGGCCTGTCCAGTTAGGTTACAAAAAGTCTCTTCTCTGTGCATGTAATGCACATGTTACATGTTAAAATTTGCTGATTGTTTTCTTCTTTTCCAAATCATCCCACCTATGCCCCCAACTGAGTTAGGTGATAGACATGTTCTGTATCTGTACAGTCCAGTAAAATAGCCACTACACACATTTTGCTACTGAGCACCTGAAACGCAGCCACTGCAACTGAAGAACTGAATTTTTAAACTTATTTAATTTTAACAATTTAAATGGCTTTACGTCGCTAATGGCTGTCTTACAGGAAAATACAGCTTAACTCAGTTCTCAAACTTTAATGTGTGTACAAATCATCTGGAACCTTGTTAACGTGTAGACTCTGATTTGACAGGTCTGTGTGGGCCTGAGAGTCTGCAACTCTAAGAGCTCCCAGGAGATGCTGATGATGCTGGTCCATGGACCACACTTTGAGTAGCAAGATTCTGACTCTTTCAGGAGCCACCAGTTCCAGTGTGTCTCAAATACTGAGTGGATAAATTGTCTCCAAATTTTTCTGGTCACACAGCCTGCCAGAAAAAAAATTCCTGAATAGCACTGTACTAACATCTTACATGTGTTATAAAACAAAACACAAAACAGAATACTGTAAATATCAGAAATAATGAAATAAGCAATATTTTATAATGACGATCACAGTAAATTCATACTATTAATAGCTAATACCTCAAAGCAAAATACACACTTGAAATGAGATTCATTGTTAAAATAATGGAATTATGATCCACTCTACAAAAAGTCTCCTTGATAATTCCAAATTTCTTTAAATCGGATCTGAATAGGTAGGCATTGGTGTTTTAATGTCCCACTGTGTCCCACAAAGCTCTTACAGATGGGTCAGTGTAGCCATTTCTACATGTGTGTACAAGAGACAGAGAAGGATTTTACATTTACATTTCTGGTATTCCCTGCTATCTGCAATCACTTTATAGAAATTTTTTAAAGCCATGTGTATATCTCATGAGAGTTAATTTAGCTAAAACTACAAAAAGCGATCCACCAATTCACCTCACTGAGATCACATTCGAAAGTGCTTCCTTGAACCCAGCTCTTTTGCAGGCCCTCCTGCTCCATATAGCCCAGGTCACCTCTGATGTACACATCAAGCCAGAACACCACCTTCAACCTAAATGTTAAATATTACGACAGTTCATCTGTCTCCTAATTTTTCAATAAAATATGTAAAAATTGACACCTCAGTTTTCCTTCAACACTAAATATGTCTACCCAACTTTGGTAACCACTGTCTAGATAGTACATAGAACATCCAGAATTATTATGAACATCTCAGATAAAATTTACCCTCAACCATAATATTGAACATTATGTTCTCAAAAACACAAGGTGGAAATTCTTCTTAAATTAGTATGTTAATCTAACAACAATTTCAACAAAGTTTACCAGGAACTGAAGCAAATTACTGCAGGCTTTATATGGAAAAATCAATGTACAAAAGTTATCAAGATCCTGAAAAAGAATAGTGCCCTGGCCAGGTGCAGTAGGTGCAGTGGCTCATGCCTGTAATCCCAGCATTTTAGGAGGCTGCGGCAGGCAGATCATGAGGTCAGGAGATCGAGACCATCCTGGCCAATATGGTGAAACCCTGTGTCTACTAAAAATACAAAAAATTAGCTGGGCATGGTGACAGATGTCTCTAATCCCAGCTACTCGGGAGACTGAGGCAGGACAATCTCTTAAACCAGGGAGTCAGGGGTTACAGTGAGCCGAGATCGTGCCACTGCACTCCAGCCTGAAGACAGAGCAAGACTCCATCTAAAAAAAAAAAAAAAGTGCCCTACTAGATGTTAATATAATATACATTACAAATTTATTATCATCAAGACAACATGATAGTGGCATAAAATCAATAAGTAGATCAAAGGAACAGTAAAGAATCAGGAGTAGGTTGGGACATACATATAGAAATCCTAACTCTAATAAAGGTGGCATTTCATTTAATGGCAAAGATGGGTCAAGGTAGTAAGCACTCTTGGCAAAGGTGGCTACCTAGAAGAAAATTAAAGTCAGACTCACTGTCTCACTCCCTAACAAACCCACCGGCTCTCGAATGGGGGCAGTTTTGCCCATTAGCAGACATTAGACAATGTCTGGAACCTGTCACAACTGCAGGGATAGGGGCTTTGCTCATAAAATCTTGTCAGTAGATGCCAGGGAGTCTGCTAAATATCCTACAATGCACAGGACAGTCCCACATACAGTTGTCTGGCCCAAAATGTCAATAGTACCAAGGCTGAGAAATTCCACCCCTTTCCCTACCTTAACCCTCATAGCTAAACAATTAAAGAGGAATGCTATTAGAAGAAAGGTGCCAATGTGAAACCTGGTTTCTCTACTCATGAAATGTGTGGACAATGGCTTGGACAAGTACCACTCTGAGACTCATTTCTTTCATCTTGGTTTTCAGGAATAAGGATAATATATATCATGAAGCAATGAACAAGGACTCTGGCCAAGCGCAGCAGCAAATAAATGGTAGCTATGACGGCTATTATAAAAAATGAGAAATCACATGAAGAAGTAACTGCAAACACATAAATGTTCTTTACAAGAAAAGGGGACATTTTGTTCCTAAGAGATCCAGGTTGCTTGATGGAGCAATTTTGGAGACTTAAACTAAAGCAATATATTACAAATTCCCCAAGAGCAGGAATTGTGTCCATCTCATTCTCTCTAACAAAGACTGCTACATTAGAGAACCCAACAGACATGTAATGAATACATTTTTATTTTGTTTTTAGGGAGCAGAGAGAAAATAACATACTGATAGCCCTAGAACCATTCTTTACATATAATCATTTGGTGCACAAATTGACAAGACCCAGCCAGCCTGCTGAATGGAGCCATCTGGAGAGCTCTAAGTGTTTGGCAGTGGTAGCCCTATATTCTGAAACCAGCTGGGGAATTAGCCAAGCCTCTGGTCCCACAGCATAGCCGTGGGGACTGGGGATGCTACAAAGCCTAGAAGAGTCTCAGAATTCTCTGAAGATGTTCCTATAAGCTCTGGGATCTCTGAGCTTAAAGATGATGTATTTCTGTGCCATGAGTCTCAAGATGGAACTTGAGTTCTACATTCACCACACACTCCCACTACCCACTTCAAACTTCAGAACTGAGAAGTCATTAATAACTTCTTCAGCCTCATTTTCCTAGACATAAAATGAGAAGTGGGGAATGAGGGAAGTACCTTTCAGTTACAAAGGAGTGTATGTCTAATACCTCTGCTGAAAACAGAGTAATGTTTTTGACAAATATTAACAACAAAAACAATTATCATGAGGACATAGTGAGAGTTAATTATAACACTTAAAACATACAGGAATGAAGCAAAGTGCTCTCAGACTCTGAGGAACAGATGTTATGTGAACACAAGTTACTAATTTAGTTTATAAAACCTTTGCAGCCATTTTAAGTTCCAACTCATGGTTGATGAATAGGAAGTGAATGAAATGATGTACTCATATTTATAGCATATTTATCATATTTTCACATACTTACAGCATTTTATAGCATTTACATCTTTGTAAATGGTTCCATCTTTCAATCATTTAAAATATAAAATTTGGATAGATTTTAGAGACAATCATTTTATCAAAATCTCAAGAACCTTTAAATCACTAATAATGTACTTATATACATCTGAATGTTATATCTCACCTACTGCTGCATTCACATCTAGAAGACAAGTGGCTAAGACAAGAAGGCTAAGACATTGACTCACCACTTCCCAAGAGTCCCCATTCAATGAGCCAGGCCCTGTAGGCATCTGCGCTTGCAAGCCCTGTCTTAGAATAAAGACATTGTCTTCAGGATTTTAGATTCAGGTCCTCAGGAGGAGAAACAAAGGGTACATTCTCAGCATTCTCTGAGATTTACTTTCCCAGAAATGAAACAGCAAAGGCCAAAAGAATTGTTTTTCTTGCATCACTTGACCCTGAATTATCAGGGCTGATTCATTCAGTCACCTGTGCTGCTCATAAGTACTTGGGAGTACAGCTTGCTGATATGGCCTAAGAGGAAACTTTTCTCAGACTCCAAGCATATGGTCAATTTGGAATGAAGCAGCTGACTGTAGCTCTCATCAACCTATGGCATCTCTTCTAAGATTCACTAGAGGCACCTGTTCTAGAACAAGGACTGAAATAGTCTTGGGTAAGTCAGCAGCTAGAGAAGTGGGCTGTGGCCTGAGAGGCTCACCACAGCTCCACAAACACCCTCTCCCAGGCGTGTCTCTGGTGTCAGGCCCCAAGGCTTCTCGTGCCTGCCCTCCCACTGTTTCCCTTTGGACACTGCGTTCCAGTTGTTCCACAATGTCAGTAGTGGGGAGTTCCTTCCCCCTGTTTTTCTGCCTCTTCCAATCTACCCATCATGCCCAACCCAGAGCAAATGAGAGCCACAGAGCCTCCTTTTCTGAAGTACTTTTATTAACAATTTCCAGGTTAGAGATACAAACCAAGACCTGTAGACTTAGCTGGGCAATTATATAATTTGCATATACATTTTTCAGCTCCCTAGCAGATAGATAAGTTTCTTGAGATCTAGGAGCTCCTTACAGTCATCTTTGCATGGTGAAATTACATACACATGTTTATCTTAAAAAATCCAACTAAAAGGGATAAATGTTTACCACTTAAAACAGCGCCAGCTATTCTATTCAATAGGCAGATGTGCCCCAGAACGAACTTGAGAAGGGAGACGTGGAGTTCCTGTTCTCTCACTGTCAATTACCACAAAAGCCTCCCTAGATGCAAACATTTCACCACCCTAGGTGTGATTACAATGAATATTCACTATAAACCCAAACCAACTTACCTTCCCAATGGGTTCACTGTTAGAAACAGCAATCTGATCTAGTCCTGAAGCAAGACATGCATTGGTCAGGTAGAGAGATGCCATAGTATTAGATTTTATGGGCACTTCAAAAGATTTTCAAGGGTAACTTTGACTGTAGACATTTTCCACCTTCCACAAGAATTTTAGAATTGCAGCCTCTGTGTTAACTACAGCTTCTCCATGAGCCCACACCCCAATCCTCGGCCAAAAGGTGCCTGATACATGTCCACAGAGTCCCCTAGTTTCCTGGTCCCTGTACCATGTAACGCATTACTCTATGGAAGCTGTAGCCAAATGACTTCAACTTATTCTTGACGAAAAACACACCAGTGACACTCTAGCTCCATGTGTGAAAAATGACAATTCAACAGCTGAAAAATGGCAAGCACTATGCATTTTGGTACTGCACTTACATCTAAAACCATAGAACATCCTAGTATTAAACTACGCTCAGGAAACATCAGAAAAGATGTTTTGATAACTGACTTCTCTTAGCCATCAAGTTTCAAGATCTTTAGCAACTCATTCTAAGAAAAACTACTTGAAAAAAAATGAAGGATCACTTAACTATACTTTGAATTCAGAGTGATTGCAACTATATTGTCTGTTAAAAATCATTAAGTGTTCCAAAGAAAGAGTTCAGAAAATGGAGTACAAACTCTCTTTCTACTTATTCACTAAGTATTTCATATTCAGCTATTCATTCTTGAGTCAAAGTAACTTGACTCAAAGTAACTGACTTCAATAAATTCAATACACTTAGAATAAAGAACAATTTATAGTTAGATGTGTGGCTTGGCCTGCCATGGTAAAATGAAATGGCAGTTGTTAGAATTTTCAAAAGAAAAGATCAGGTGATTTTTCATGGATGTAAGTGAAATCTGTCAACATGGCAGTGAGCTCAAAGGAATGTTACTGCACTTGATAACTACTTTTGGAGTGACTCATTAATAATTTAGTTAGATTGGCAACAATGCTCTCCAATTACTCAAACACCACTAGAAAACATTTTTCATTAGGAGACTTAAATAAACTTTTCCTGCCTCATTCTCATTACTCCCCATGTTTGCCCAAAAGAAATCAGGCCCAATTTAAAAGTTGCTCCTCCAGAAACATTTCCTTTGTTTCTCTTCCGTTGAGATATGGCATCACCTTTTCCCAAACTCACATGGCATAAGACACATATCTGATTTAATTACTTAGACTGCAAGTACCTGGAATCCAGGCTGCATGTTCAATTGAACCATGTACTTGCACCCTCTAACTTCCCACCACATAGAGCTCCTAGCACAATACCCTGAAAAGAGTACACCTTCAGCAAGGTGTGAGTGAATGAGTGAGGGAATAAATGTGGGCTTGAGGGGTTCTGTTTGGTGGTTCTGGCATATCCCAAGGCACAGTCATTTGCTAAAAACTTAATGTGAACCCTTCAAACACAATTAGGTTGATACTGAAGTTCCACACAGTCATCTCATGGTGATTCGTGGTAATGAACTTCATTTGGACCAGTGGTAATCTAGAAAGTGTGTCTACATCTCTTTGAATGCGCTCCACTTGAAAAATATTAACCAAGCATTTCTTTCCCTTTTAGAAGCTAAGTCATTTCATTTAACAGCATCTATAGCTGTCAGAACTTTGGCAGACTTTGTGAAAAGTGTCACTTTAACTGTCCGATTTAAAAATTAATCACAAAAGTCTTCCTTTGTTTTGTTTTTACTACTTAAACTCCCTATTGATAAAGAAAAAGTACTGGTTTTTGTTGTTGTTTGTTTCCTTCTTTGTTTTGTTTTGTTTTGTTTTGTTTTAGACAAGGTATCATTCTGTTGCCCAGCCTGGAGTGCAATAACACACTCATATTGCACTGCAGCCTCCACCTCTTGAGCTCAAACAATCCTCCCACCTCAGCCTCCTAGGCCCAAGCAATCCTCCATCCTCAGCTGTGACTACAGGTGTGCACCACTATACCCAGCTAATTTTGTAAATTTTTAGTAGATACTAGGTCTCACTATGTTGTCCAAGCTGGTCTGGAACATCTGAGCTCAAGAAAATCTTCTGCCTTGGTCTCCCAGATTGCTGGGATTACAGGTGTGAGCCACTGCACCTGGCCATGTTGTTTTTTCGTTTGCTTATTTTTAAGATTGTTGGGGTCTTTTTCTCATAATACAAAAAAAATGCAGTTATTGTATTTGCTAAGAGAGAAAATTCCTGTACTTTAAAATCACATTTTACAACGACTCTGCTTACAAAATTACCGAAGGAATCTCTTTCTCTGGATCTGCTTGTCCAGGAGTGAAATGTTCATTAAGGTCATCAGGCAGGCAGTTCAGGAACTCTGGACTAAAGTGAGATCAAACCCAAGGAGACCGCCAACTTCTATTTCTTGAAAATCCTCCTGCATACAATGTCTCATTCCTTTCAATAGTTTGCTCATTTTTGTCTTCTGGAAAGTAAGTTCATTTGTTCATGCTATCTAAGTGGAAGTAAAGAACCTCTATTGAGCCCCCAGCTTCACTTCTGGCTTGTAATGCACTATTCCTGAAAGTGGTGGTTCTTATTTCTGAAGAGGGGCTGCCTCACCCATCTTGTCCCATCAGATAACTTAAGAGTTCAGCGCAAGCCAGGCAAATCATGTAGTAACAGCCCCTCATTGTAGCAGCTAGAAAACGGAGGCCCAGAAAAATCCACTGATTTGCCCCTTGCACAACACTACTTACCAGTAGCCTCATGCAGCCTAGAACACAGGCCTGCTGGCCACGAGTCCTGTGTTCTTTCTTACCTAGCCTGATGCTTACAGCTCTCCTGGGAGTAAAGTGGCAAGCCCCAGTAGTGTTGCTGAGTGTCAGGCATGAAGCCAGGCAAGAATTAGGTCCTCCAAACCCTTGCTACTCAAAGTGCATGCCATGGACCATCAGCATCTGCCCCATCTGGAAATGAGTTAGAAATGCGGAGTCCCAGGCCTCATCCAGACCTATGTCAGACTCTGCTCTTTAACCATATCCCCAGGAGACTCACAGGCACATTAAAGTTTTAAAAGCATTGCTACATAGCAGGGGGGAAAAAAGGACACATCTTCGCCTTTTTGAGTTAAGCTCAGGCCAAATCCTGAGCTCACATCACCACCTATGGCAGATCACACTGAAGGATTCACCGGTGATCTGACCCAAATGGAATCGTCTCCTTTAAACACTAAGGGTAATTAAATAATCTGCAGAATAGAATCACTGGAGCCCAGTGGATGCCTTATATAATCCATATAATGCATTTGTCAGTTTTGTTTCCTTGCTGATATTCTGACCTACTTACAGACTACTGAGGGGTAAAATGCAGGAAAGGTTGAGTAATAGAAGTGCTTCTTGATGGAATGTCAAAGATATCCTCACCCACTTTTTTTCCTAAAGTGATTATCCACAAGAATTGTGGGTAAAGGGACACAACATGTGCTTCATGCCAGGATTAAGAATGCAGGTATGGGAGTCAGCCTTCCTGGGAGCAAGGCAGAGCTCTACTTGCTGCCTCTGTGTGATCGTGACAACTCAACATTTGTGTCTCAGTTTTCTCACCTTTAAAATGGGAACAGAAATGACACTTATTTCATAGGTGTATGATACCAATGAAATGATAATGATCAAGCCTGGCATACAGTGAGTGCTCACTAAATATGAGCTACTGTTATTATACATATCCTATGTGTCAGTGTTGCTTAAAACCACTGAAGCCCCCAAAATAGTTTCTTCTTGTGATTGACCCAGATAATGATCAACAGCCAATCGACATAAAGAAATCAATAATGGGCTGGGCATGGTGGCTTACTCCTGTAATCCCAGCACTTTGGGAGGCTGAGGCAAGAGACTCTTTTGAGCTCAGAAGTTCCAGACCAGTCTGGGAAACATGATGAAACCCATTCTCTACCACAAATACAAAAATAAGCCAGCATGGTGGCATGCACCTGTAGTCCCAGTTGCTTGGGAGGCTGAGGTGGGAGGATGGCTTGAGCCCAGAAGGCAAGAGTTGCAGTGAGCTGAGCCTGGGTGACAGAGTGAGACCCCATCTCAAAGGAAGAAAAAACAAAACAAAAGAAACCAATGCACATCCAGGCTCAGTGGCTGTAACCTGTAATCGCAGTGGTTTGGGAGGCCAAGGTGGGAGGATCGCTTGAGGCCAGGATTTCAAGACCATCCTAGGCAACATAGCAAGACCTCATTTCTACAGAAGAGAGAGAGAGAGAGACAGAGAGAGAGAGAAGGAGAGAGAGAGAGAGAGAAACTAATACACATAAAAGGCAGACATTGAGAAAAGTCTCGCCTTACCAAAAAATGTGTGAATTCTAGGTTTGAGCAAAGACATGTACCACCTTTCACAGCAAATTCTAATTTACACTGATGTAGACTAAGAGCCACAGAGCTTGATCAACCATGAAGAAAGAAAGGAAAGGAAAGGAAAGGAAAGGAAAGGAAAGGAAGGGAAGGGAAGGGAAGGGAAGGGAAGGGAAGGGAAGGGAAGGGAAGGGAAGGGAAGGGAAGGGAAGGGAAGGGAAGGAAAGGAAAAGAGGAGTCAGTCAAGTCACACAACCTCATGCCTCACAGCTGTCCCTTGTGAGCACACCAGCCAAATGCTTTGTCTACCTGCAAAGCGACTTTAAAAAGAGAGAAAGAGGAGGAGCTGCTCTGCATTCTCTCTTTAAACTGTAGCACGTTATCATTCCTTCTATGATAGTTGGCCAAAAGACAAATCTGATTCCCTTTCTTAGACTTCATTTTAATTTTAATTTTTATGAAAGCAGCAAAAACAAACTGCTCTCTCCATTCCATTCTCATTTTTTTAATTAATATTGTTCCTTTTGAAAGACTACCCCCATTTCTCTTTTCTTAATTAGGCCCAATCTAAATGTAGGCATAAACATTGAACTTGGCAAGGAAAAATGAAAACTATCCCCAAGCCCTGAAAATCTAAATCAAGACCAAACCAATTACAGCATTTTATTTAGGTGGGGTTTATATTTCGTATTTTTTTAACTGTTAAGTGATTGACAGAATTTATGGTAGGCTCAAAATGTTAAAGTATTTCCAGACTTTGGGGGAAGACATTAAGTTTGTATATAGCCTTTAAACAAAAGCATTGCATTTTCCAGCCATGCCTTTCAGTTCAAAAGTATTACACTTTTAATAGCTGCATAATTCCGGACATATCCTTCTTCTGAGGAGACATTTTTCTAGCTAAGCTTAATGCAGTGAGTTAAAAGAGAGAAAGAATGTTAAACGGAACCCTCTACTTGCAGTTAGACATATGTTTGCTTTTCATTGCAGGACGCTAGGAAACCTCTCTGATTGTCTAACTTTTTGCCTCACCTGTCTGAGGGCAGAGGCCCTGAGGACTGCATGCAAATTTCAACCCCCCAACCCCAAACTCTCACTTCTTCTCTGTTGAGCATAGCTTAGCCACAGCAGGATGCTACCTATTTACTCAGGGAGGCCTTACCTGTCGGTTTTCTTGATGAGGATGGCCCTAAAGATATGCTCCAGGGGTGTCTTCTCCTGTCCATGGGTGGGCTGCACAAAGGGGTGCATGGCTGCCAGAGAGAAGCCCTGTTGGTACAGCTCCAGGAGTTGGGTGGGCAGGTCACACAGGGAGGTCAGCCTTACTGTTGAGGATCCAGGGAGCTCTGCTGGAGTGGAGAGAGGAGAGGCTCATCACAGACCCACTAGGACACCCACCCAGCCCTGCCCAAGTCCCTCTCCCCTTGCCCTCAGGGAGGATCCTCTAGGTTACTGCTAAAATGAGTTTGTCTCACTTTTTGCTGTCTTCAAACGTACTTCATAAGCAGACTGTCATTTTCCAAATCACCCAAAGACACTAATGATTGGATTCTGGCCAGGCGTGGTGGCTCATGCCTATAATCCCAGCACTTTGGGAGGCCTAGGAAGACGCATCGCTTGAGCCCAGAAGTTTGAGACCAGCCTAGGCACCATGGTGAAACCCGGTCTCTCTAAAAAAAGAGAAAACCCTCAAAATTAGTTGGTGCTTGTGGTCTTGGCTACTCACAAGGCTGAGGTGGGAGGACTGCTTGAGCCGCAAATGGGGAGGTTGCAATCAGCCATGATTGGGCCACTGCATTTTTATTTTTTTTTTTTTTTTTGAGACGGAGTCTCGCTGTCGCCCAGGCTGGAGTGCAGTGGCGTGATCTCGGCTCACTGCAAGCTCCTCCTCCCGGGTTCACGCCATTCTCCTGCCTCCGCCTTCAGAGTAGCTGGGACTACAAGAGCCTGCCACCGCGCCCGGCTAATTTTATTTTGTATTTTTAATAGAGACGGGGTGTCACTGTGTTAGCCAGGATGTTCTCTGTCTCCTGACTTCGTGATCCGCCCTCCTCGGCCTCCCAAAGTGCTGGGATTACAAGCGTGAGCTATGGCGCCTGGCCAGGGCCACTGCATTCTATCTAGCCTGGGTAGCAGAGCAAGACTCTGTCTCAAAAATAAAATAAAATAATAATGGAATGTCTTAGATCCAGAGTCATCTTCTCAGTGATCACAATGAAAAAGTCATTTCCACCTTCTAAAAAAAGAAAAAAAAGAAAAAAAGAAAAAGAAAACAGAAATGAAGAAGGGAAGGGAAAAGAAGGAAAATACACTGAACAAATATAAAAATTCTAGGAGGCAATAAGTAGCATAAACAAAGTCAAAAGACAAACTTAAACAAAATTTCTGTGACCCTTAAGATAAAGGGCTAATTTCCTTAATTTGCGAAACCCTCCTTACCCCAAAATAAATTCTACATAGGCAAAATATATGAAGAGGCAATTGCTTACAAAATGTAAAACGCTAACCAATATTTGAAAAAACATTCTATCTCAGCATTAGAATTACACAAATCAAAACCAGGAATATTTTTACCTATTGAATTATTTTAAAATTTGGACTTCTAATTTACTTATTTTTGAGAAGGGGAAACAAAGTTCAAAATTCAAAAGGTACAAATGTGTATTCAGTGAAAAGTCTACATCCTAGCCCTATCCTTTACCTCCTAGACATTTATTTCCATAGAGGAAATACATTATTATCTTTTTGTGTGTATATGCATTAACAATCAAAGTATTCATACAAAAGTCAATAGGTCTATATATTTCCCTCCTCTTCTACACAAATGTCAGCATAACATTACACACCTGGCTTTTTAAAATCAGTTTTTATCAATTAACAGGACACTTTTCAGGCAGCTGTGGTGGCTCATGCCTGTAATCCCTATACTTTTTGGAGGCCGAGGTGGGATTATCCCTTGAGGTCAAGAGTATAAACTAGCCTGGCCAACATGATGAAACCCCATCTCTACCAAAAATAAAAAAAAAAAAAATTAGCCAGGTGTGGTGACGCATGCCTGTAATCCCAGCTACACAGGAGGCTAAGGTGGAAGAAGCTCTGGAACCCGGGAGGCAGTGGCTGCAGTGAGCCGAGATAGCAGCACTGCACTACAGCCTGGGCAACAAGAGCTAAACTCCGTCTCAAAAACAACAACAACAAAAACAGTATACTTTTCTTAGACACCATTTCATAGCAGTACACAGAGTGTTTTCTCAGTCTTTTCTACAGATCCATTGTGTGATATACCATGGTCTATGAAAACTTTTGCTTTTATAAGTAATCGTTTAGTGAAAAATATCATTCCTATATGATTTTGCACATGTGCGCTTGTAGTACATATAAAAAATAAATTCATAGATGTTGAATTGCTGGGTTAAAAATACATGCATTGCGTGCATGTATCAAAACATCTCATGTACCCTATAAATATATACACCTACTATGTACCCACAAAAATTAAAAATAAAATCAAAAATCAGAGGTGTAAAAAATATATATATATATATATATATACACACATATATATGTCATACATATGTCTGCATTGTAATTTTTTCAGATAGTGCTAGATTTCTTCTATACAGTACTATGGATTTATCTGGCATCAGTGATGTATAAAGTTGTTTGTTTTCCCATACTGTGGCTATTGTCAGTGGAAAAAAAAAAAATGATCCCTGTGAGATGTTAACTTATATTTCTCTTATTGTGTAATTTGTATTTTTTTCTTATTAAACATTTCACATTTAAATGCTGTTTCTCCTTCTCTGTGAACTGTCTGTCCATTATCTTTGCCTGGCATCCTTTTGGGTCATTGGACCTTTTTTCTATTGGTTTGTAAGAACTGTTTACATATTAGGAAATTTGGTTTCTATTTATCTGTCCCCGATTTGTTGCTTGCCTTTTGACTTTGTATATGGTAGGTTTTGCTATGAAATTTTTTTTTTTTTGGACAAAGTCTCTCTCTGGTGCCCAAGCTGGAGTGCAGTGACACTATCTCAGTTCACTGCAAACTCCACCTCCTGGGTTCAAGTGATTCCATGGAAAACTTTTTAAATAAAGCTAAATTTACCAATCTTGCTTTCAATGGCTTCTGAGTTTTATGTCATAGGAGAAAGACCTGGAATTGTAAAACAGTTATCTTGTGAATTCTCATAAAACTTATTTCATTTTTTTGCATAAAAATCTTTGATTGATTTGGGATTTATCCCAGGTAAACTATGCAATATGAATTTAACTCCCCCACACACCCACACACAGGGGTTTATCTATTTTTCCTCATTGATTTCAGATGCCATATATTATATGCCATTTATCATTCATTATATTCCCAGATATGAGTTTATGACTGTGATCCATCAATCTATTTGTATAAAACACTACTTCAAACAATTTTAATTTCACATTATGTTTTAATATCTGGTTAAACCATTTCTCAAATTTTCCTATATTCCTGTTTATGTTTTGTATCCTCCTAATTTGTTTTTCTAAATGATCTTTAAAAAATCTGCTCAGTAAATTCCCTTTCCTCCACCAGAAAAAAACTTGTGGGTATTTTTACTAGGTCATGTTCAAATCATAGCTAACTGAAAATGAATATTTTCACCAAGCTGCAAGTTCCCATGCAAGAAACTGGCAAAATTTTGATTTGTTCAAGTCTTCCTTTGGGTTCCTCTGGAGCATACTAAAGTTTTCTTCACACAGATAGTACATATTTATCAAGTTAATTTCTAGTTATCCTGTATTTTATTCCTATTGGAATACTATATTTTCCTTTTTCACTTCTGTAATATTCATTGTGTGTAAAGGTGTTGGGGAAACAGGCACGCCCCTTGTCATGGTGGGAGTGAACCTTTCTTGAGGGCAGGGTGATATTGGCCTTCATACCTAAAAATGCACACACTGTTTGTCCAGCAACCCCACTATTGGCAGTACTTCTATGGCTGGAATCATAAATGCCTTTCAAGATATATGGACAAAGATATTTACTACTGGGTTGCTCTAGTAGCAATCTTAATTGCAGGAATAGTTATATACTGGAATATCCCAGTGATTAATCCTATAAACCATTCAGAAGATTAAAGTAAATCTGTTATGTGCTGATATAGAAACAAGTCCAAGATACATTGCTAAGTTTAAAAAAAAAAGGTAACTACAGTGTTAATGGTATGGCCACTCTTGTGTAAATAATATTAGAAGGATGGACAGATATAAATAAAAATATTTTTTTTCCTGGAAGAAATCACAAAAACATCAACATTGAAGAGAAGGATTGGAGTAGGGAGGAAAGCATAGAAAGTGGTTTTTGCTTTATTTTATACTTTTGATCCCATTACCACCAACAGGAGTCATTTAAGTGGAAGGTTTATGAGTCATTTTTATTTTCCTCTTTATATATAAAAACAATATTATTGTTAAAATGTTTTTAATGTACTTTAAAAAATGTGCTTTTCAAATTTTCTAATTTTTCTTATTTATTTTGAGACTGAACCTCGCTCTGCCACCCAGGCTGGACTGCAGTGGTGCGATCACAGCTCACTGCAGCCTTGATCCCCTGGGCTCAAGTGATCCTCTTATTGCTTCAGCCTCCAGAGTTTCTGGGACTGTAGGCACATGCCAGCATGTCCAGCTAATTTTTAAATTTCTTGTGGAGACAGTGTCTTGCCATGTTGCCCAGGCTAGTCCCAAACTCCTGGTTTTAAATGATCTTCCTGCCTGGGCCTTAATGTACTTTTTTTTCTTTTTTTTTTGAGACAGAGTCTCCCTCCTTCGCCCAGGCTGGAGTGCAGTGGTGCAATTTCAGCTCACTGCAACCTCCACCTCCCTGATTAAAGTGATTCTCCTGCCTCAGCTTCCTGAATAGCTGGGACTACAGGCACATGCCACCATGCCTGGCTAATTTTTGTATTTTTAGTAGATACGGGTTTCACCATGTTGGCCAGGATGGTCTCGATCTCCTGACCTTGTGATCCATCTGCCTCTGCCTCTCCCTAAAGTTCTGGGATTACAGGCGTGAGCCAATGTACTATTTTAAGAAACAAATTTTAAAACAAAACCTAGGGGTACTTAAGAACCACCTGACATCAGATACTGTAGCTGTCATTTCCATATATCATGCAAGAAATTGACAGGACAAAAAAATCTGCAGCAATGATTCACTCTAAAACAAGCATTCAGCATCCTGGAGAAGTCTCCATTAATAAGAGTGACAAATGTAGGACTCATCAGGTAAGCAGAAAAGTATGCAATCTTTCCCCTGAAGGTACATTCAGGATATGCTGCTAGATAAACAAATCCAAAGGTAAGTCTCGTAAAGAATGCTAAGCCTCTCTGTATACCCCATGCATGGAAACCTGTCAAGGTAGGACTGGCCAGGTAAGCAGAAAAGTATGCAATCTTTCCCCTGAAGGGTATATTCAAGATAGGCTGCTAGACAAACAAATCCAAAGGTAAGTCTGGTAAAGAATCCTGAGCCTCTCCATACTCGCCATGCATGGAGTCAAGGTGTCTCATAAGCAGCTTCTTGGATGCAGGCGAGAGGGACTACTGCTCTAAAGCTTGTTCTGAACACCAGGGTTTACATCAAGGGTCCCCAAACCTGGGGCCACAGACTGGTATGGGGGTGCTGCACAGCAGGAGTTGAGTGAACATTACTACCTAAGCTCTGCCTCCTGTCAGATCAATAGCAGTATTAGATTCTCTTAGGAGCATGAACCCTAATGTGAACTGTGCATGCAAGGGACCTATGTTGCATGCTCCTTATGAGAATCTAATGCCTGATGATCTGTCATTGTCCTCCATAACCCCTAGATGGGACCATCTTGTTGCAGGAAAACAAGCTCAGGGCTCTCACTGATTCCACATTATGGTGAGTTGTATAATTATTTCAATACATATATAATGTAATAATAATATAAATAAAGTGTACAGTAAACGTAATGCACTTGAATCGTCCCAAAATCACCCCCACAACCCCATCTGTAGAAAAACTGCCTTCCATAAACCAGTCCCTAGTGCCAAAAAGGTTGGGGACCACTGGTTTAGAGCAAGTGTCCTCAAAATCCACACCCTTGTCCAGCAACACCTGAGAACTTGTTAGAAATGACAAACCTTGTCTGGGAGTTGTGGCTCATGCCTGTAATCCCAGCACTTTGGGAGGCTGAGGTGAGCATATCATCAGGTCAGGAGTTCAAGATCATCCTGACTAACACAGTGAAACCCAGTCTCTACTAAAAATACAAGAAATTAGGCAGGTGTGGTGGCACACACCCATAGTCCCAGCTACTCAGGAGGCTGAAGCAGGAGAATTGCTTGAACCTAGGATGCAGAGGTTGCAGTGAGACAAGATCATGCCACTGAACTCCAGCCTGGGCAACAGAGCCAGACTCTGTCTCAAAAAGACAAAAAAAAAAAACCAGAATATTTGGTTCCTACCTTAGACTTACAGAATCAGAATCTGAGCCATTTGTGTCTCACAACCTCCCCAGGGAGTTTGACTGCGCCAAAGAGTTTCACTCCTGCAATGGCCCTCCTCCACACACTCTCCTCTCCACAGGCAAGGAAACCTTTGCAGCCATAGGCCCAATCTGGAGGCCATGCAGACTTCTTCCTCAGTCTGCAGTGAGGCCGGATGGTGCCTATTTGTGTGCACTCCTAGGCCCAAGGCAGGGAAAAAACTAAGAGGAGGAAAGTGAGGATATAACTTACCACAAGTGCAAATTTTAAGGGAGCACCAAAAGCTCAATGATCAAGATGAATAAATATTCAATGTAATATTTTAAAAAATAAAAATCAATGTAAAACTTAATGATGAACAAAGTATCAATACTTTTCATAAAGATAAGATCAGGCTGGGTGCCAGTGGCTCAGGACTGTAATCCCAGCACTTGTGGGTGTCCCAGACAGGAGGATTGCTTGAGCACAGGAGTTTGAGACCAACCTGGGGAATATGGCAAAACTCCATCTGTACCAAAAAACACAAAAATTAGCTGGGCATAGTGGCATGTGCCTGAAGTCCCAGCTACTAGGGAGGCTGAGATGGGAGGATCGCTTGAGCCTGGGGAGACCAAGGATGCAGTGACCTGAGATTGCACCACTGCACTCCAGCCTGGGGTAAGAGATTTACTAAATAAATAAATAATTAAAAGATAGGATCACTGTTTTTTCCTTTCACTTCAAGCTCCAATATGACTCTCACGCTACTGTCACTGATCTTGTCTTTATTGTAAAACGTTGCCTTATTCCCCTCACCCTAATCCTGGCCCATCCCAAGATCTCCTTTCGTCCTCTAGTTCCAGATCCTCCAAATGCTGGGTGTGGACCTTATGGAAACCAGGGGCATGTTTCATCTGCTGTCAACAGATTACAAGGCTGCTGAACCAAAAGGGCAAAACCACATGTAGCGGAGACACTGTTTTATTTGAAAAACTGAATGGACTTTAGGTAGGAGTGTAAGCCTTGATGGAGGGCAACTGCATGTTGTCAATCAAACCTAAAAATACTACCCAGCACCAAGATCCCCTCTTCTTTGATAAAACTATATACAAACAGCATCTGTGAGTCATCAAACATGAGCCCTCAAACTCAGCCAGTCTCTACAGTTCAATATTCTTTAAATGTTTCAAATCTTTCAAGCTCTTCAAGCTATAATAAAATGAACCTTTATTGAGAGATCGATAATTTATATACATGTTTCCTCTTATGCACCACACTAAAATAAAAAATAAAAGTAGTTAATATGTTTAGAAGGCAGGGTTCTGGCTGGGGACGGTGGCTCACGCTTGTAATTGCAGCACTTTGGGAGGCCAAGGCAGGTGGATCACTTGAGAGTGGGAGTTTGAGACCAGCCTGGCCCACATGGTGAAACCCTGTCTCTACCAAAAATTCAAAAATTAGCTGGGCATGTTGGTGTGCGCGTACAGTCCTAGTTACTCAGGGGGATGAAGTGGGATGATCACTTGAGTCCAGGAGGTTGAGGTTGCAGTGAGCCGAGATCATGCCACTGCAATCCAGCCTGGCAGACAGAGTAAGACCTGTGTCTCAAGAAGAAAGCAGACAGAGTTCTGTACCAGTTGCTCTCCTCACTGCCTGGTAACCCCAGGTATGTGAACACTCAATTTCTTTGTATAAAATGGTGATAATAACATCAACGTGTCTTCCATCATAGAGTGGTTGTGAGGATCAAGTGGGATGACGTGTGTAATATACAGAGCACAAAACAATCACGGGCAGTGGCGCTGGCCATGGTGAATTGGGGGACTACCCACCCGGGGATGGTGATGACAACAAGGTGTGGGACCATGAAATCCTTCCCCATTCCCACCCACACCTCTTAACCTCCATGCTCCCAAGTCAGTGCACTAGAAATATTTTAGTGGTCAATCAACCACTTTATATTTAAATGCTCCCTGAATAAAACATAAAGCTTTAAAATTTTTATCTTATAATCTAAAAATGAATCTCTTGTCAAAACTAAGCAGTTTTGTGGCTTTAATCTTTGGTAAGCATGCTGTCAAAGTAAGTTTAGCTTCATGGTTAAAAGAAAAAAATAAAAATGTTCTCAATGATCTTAAAGCAATTAAAAAAAAGGCTCCTACTGCAAATATGATTAAAGGCCTTAATGTCTTGTTTCTATTTGAACCCTAACCTTAAAATACAAAAGAAAACATAGTTCTCATAAAGTGACCAATCCCTCAGTGTTACTCCTAGGCAAATAAACAAAGGAATGATTTCTCTATTTGGATAGACATACCAATTGCAGCCTGTTGGTCTGTTTCTCAACCTGCTTATCAGAGTAACCTCTCCACTATTTTGTTTTCTAATAGTTGCCTGATTTCGTTTACAAATTATGTAACCATGGGCAAGCTATATATCTCCCTCTCCATCTCTTGGGACCCTCATTTACAAAATGAAGACTAAATGGTCAATTGCAAAAGGATATTTCAACCTTAAAGGAGCTTTCAACTTTAAAATGCAATAATTTTAATGTTTCAATTTGGAGGCTAAGGTACCAGTTTCTAACTAAAAAGTAACATTGGATAATATAACAAATGTTTTCAATGTTAACTGAAAGAGTTCCCCAAAATCAGAGCTAAAGTTGGAATAAGGAACACCCACATGGCATGTGTAGGTTGCTGGAGCAAGGAACAAAAGGCTAGAAGATATCCGCTTCCAGTGGGCAGGAGAAACACCACTGCTGCCTGAGGGTTCCAGCCTTCTGCCTGCCCAGGCACTAGGGATTCTGGGCTAAGTGTTCCCCAAGGGAGTGTGGAGAGCTGTTCTGGGGAGTTCTAGGGAAGAGATGCCTGTCCAGTGGTGGGAGAGAAAACTAATGTTTTAACTATTGCTGAGGATAATGGGTCCCCTTCATCCTAGAGGAGAGCTACAAGGAAAAGGCATGAGTTATTCTGAAGTTACTTTGGCTTCCTGGCCTTTGACCAGGACCTGACTCTAAGGCTGAACCACATGAACTGTCTCATCATAAGTTAAAATTTCTAATTATAACTTCATAGTGTGAAGATGAGGTACACTGGTGAGGCTGTCTTATCCACCTTTACCCTTCAGAAAGAGAAAACACCAGCCTATTCAGAGTGGGCAGACGCTGTGAGGGCTGATCACACTTTTTTCTCCACTTTCTACTCTGTCATGTTCTGTACTCTTAATTTACAGTGACCACACTCACCTCATCTGGGAAGGACACCCACGTGCTCCCACAATACCATAATCTTGGCTCACTGCAACCTCTGCCTCCTGGATTCCAGTGATCCTCCCACCTCAGCCTCCTGAGCAGCTGGGACTACAGGTGTGCACCAACATGCTTAGCTAATTCTTGTACTTTTAGTAGAGATCAGGTTTCATCACATTGGCCAGGCTGGTCTTGAACTCCTGCTCATCTTCATCCCGAACCAGGGCTTTGTCGTGCTGCAGTGCAAAGGTCAGCTCTCTCTTGGCTTCTCCCTGACTTGGGCAGGGGCAGAGTCTCATCTCCTTATGAGACAGAGGGCTTGATGTGGATCCCAAGGCCAGTAACAGAGACATCCATGGGCCAGGGAAATAAAGTAAACAAGAGATACGAGCCAGGGGAAAAGCAATGAACATCGCGGCCTCATCTTGCCCAAGGGGGCAGCATTTTGCCCTTCTTGCCTGGTTACTGCTAAAGGGGAAGTGGGCCCAATGGTGCCAGAGCTTCTAACTCTTACTTTCAATAAGTCAGAAATCTTAATCCTCCTAATCTTTAAATGTGGCAAGTAATTATAATTTTATTTTCAATCCCATATGGCCAAAGCCAAGACCTGTCAGGTTGCAGAGTATGGATGGGGCATTTGATAAAAGTAGGGCACGGATGTCTGCCCTCCTTCCTATCTCTGACCCTGGCACTGTCCAGGCGCAGTGTGACCATCAGTCATGCAGGGTGGAGGATGACATTCTGTTCATTCCCACACCAACACAAGGTACATCAAAGGCTTCAAGGACAAATCTGCAGGTATTTGATACTGGCCTCTATTTCCTAATTCTTTTTTTTTTTCTATATTGGCATTGAGACAAACACAAAGTTTAGAACCACATGATTACATTTTGAATCTTTTGGAATTTTTTGTTGTTGTTGTTCTGGACAGTATTACCAATAATCAGCTTTTCTAAAATCAAAATACAGAAACTACTGCTGAAAAGCTGTTTTGGGTGGTATGAGAGTCCAAACATCTTTTTAAATAAGTGTTTTGTTTTCCTTTCAGAAAATAACTCCATATAAATAAATAAACCATTATTCCAAGAGGTAAAAAAAAGGAAAAGAAAGGAATGAAAATAGAGAAAAAAAAATCCACAAAACCACACATTTCTTAACACTCCTGGGATAAAGGAAATTTTGTTTTTGCTATGGCTATGTTTTGTTTAGGAAAAACATTCTGCAGCCCTATTTATTCCCTTGAAATAAAGCCCTTCAGACATTTGCAAAGGGCCAAAGTGAGGTCTTTGCTATTTCAGACTTTATTATTGGGAAAGTATCAGCCTCCAACACAAGAAAGAAACCACTGCATACAGCAACTACATATTTCACTCGGCTCTATAAAGCAGGAAACAGCAGGCTGAAATGCAAAAGTTACTATTATTTTGCCTGGAAATAATTTCTGACTTTAACTTAATCATTCAACGTCTGACTTTGCTTTTCTAATTACATCAGCTGATGGATCTGTCAATATCAAGGAGCGCAATGTGAGAAAGACACCATCTCCCTCAGGTAAGTTCGCTCACAGGTGAAGCTAATAATGACACTGCTCAACCAAATCTCTTTCTTTTTTTAAAAAAAGTTACTTCAAGACTGCTAGTGCTATAACATCAATGTGCCTGGGCTTTGCAGTAGATCCAATTTAGCAAAACATTAAAATCAATCACTTTTCAATGCAGGACTTTTTATTGTATAGGTAAGAAATGGGAGTCCAATTTTTAAAACAATGCTTGCAGAAGACAAAGCCTATTTCTTCCACATGTGTCATTTCTAAATCTGTGGAATAAGTGAGAATGTTTATTCTAGGCCTCTAAAAATTTAGACTTCTGTCATCTTTTCATTAAACAAATTCATGTTTCTGAAACTTAAAAAAAAAATAAAACACATACATATCCAGGCTTAGGAGACCACACCATTAAAACACTATTTTTAAAATTTGAAGTAAAGTTTCCATAATATAAAATTAATCATTTTAAAGTGAACAATTTGGTGGCATTTAGTACACTCATGATGTTGCAAAACCATCAACTCCATGTGTAGGTTCTAGAACATTTTCATCAACCCAAAAGGAAACCCCACATCCATTAAGCAATTACTCTTTCCATTCCCCTCTCTCCCCCAGCCCTAGCAACCACCAATATGCTTTCACAAAAAACTATTCTTTTTAAAAATTCTATTTTAATTGATTTTTTGTGTACATTTAAGGTGTACAACCTGATGCTTTGATGTACACATACTTAGTCAAATGATTACTACACTCAAGAAAGCCAACATAACAATCACATCACAAAGTTAGTTTTCTTTTTTGTGTGTGGGAAGAGTACCTAAAATCTATTCTCTTAGCAGATTTCCAGTATATAATATTATTAGCTATATTCCCCATGTTGTACATTAGATCAGTCCCCATGATGTGTATTAGATCTCTAGATTGACTTATCATACATAACTGCAACTTTGTACCTTTCACCTACATCTCCCCATCTCCCTGACCACCGCCCCCCAAACTACAGTTCTACTCTCTGTTTCTGTGTATTTGATTTTTAGTTTGATTGCACATAATATGTGAGATTATGTAGTATTTTTCCTTCTGTGTCTGGCTTATTTCACTTAGCAGAATGTCCTCTAGGTTCACCCATGCTATTGAAAATGGAGGATCACCTTCTTTTTTAAAGCTGAATAATATTCCATTGTGTATATATACCACAGTTTATTTATCCAATCATCTATTGATGGACATGTAGATTGTTTCCATATACTGGCTATTATGAATAATGCTGCAAATAAGATGGAGTGCAGATATCCCTTTAACATACTGATTTCATTTCCTTTGGAGAAATACCCAGTAATGGGGTTGCTAGATCATATGGTATTTCTATTTTTCCTTTTTGATGAATCTCCATATTGTCTTCCATAATGACTGTACTAGTTTACATTCCCACCAACCATGTGCAAGGTTTCTCTTATTCTCCACATTCTCACCAGCACTTGTTATCTCTTGTATTTTTTATAGTAGCCATCCTAATACATGTTAACTCATATCTCACTATGGTTTTGATTTGCATTTCCCTGATAATCAGTTAGTTAATAAGCATTCTTTCCTACATGTGTGGGCCACTCTTATATCTCCTTTGGTGATATGTCTATTCAGGCCATCTGCCCATTTTTCAAGTTGTGTTATTTGTGGTTTTCCTATTGAGCTGAATGAGTTCTGAAACACTGTTCTTAATAATTTAATTAAACCATGGATGAACACACAGTGGAATCTCAGTAAGATTAAAATAATTTCTTTAAGCTTATATAAACCTAAGATTCTGCAGGTCAGTCAGAGAGTAACTGGCAAAGCAACAGATGCCTGATCAAATGAATTAAGTTGCAGGCTGTCGGACCACAAATGACTGTTAAACATCAGACTGCCATGACAATGGGAGAGGGGGAAAGGTAAATTGTTATTGCTTTGCTTGTCATTTCAGAGAATCACACATAGTCAGTAAATTACACACACACACACATGCACACACACACACACCCCACTGTGCTGTAAAAATTCAGTGTCCAGGTATTTGTAATGAGACTGCCTCAATAATTTCTATTGACTGTATCTATTAATAAAACTCAGAAGATGGCATTATTGCTCACCTCACCAGTCCATTTTGTCAGAGAAGACACAGATTAAGATATATCAAGAACCCTTTTTAAGAAACACCAAGTGCCCTGATGCTTAGATTTAGTAGTGGGTACTCAAATATTAAAAGCAACCAGCTAGAAATGGAACCTGGAGTATTAATAAAGTATTTCATACATTTAAAAGTACTTCTGTCAGAGAAGACACAAAGGATCACCAGTTATTCAGAACTGGTAACCAAACTCACCCATACCAAATCCAAGAGGAGCTTTTTGTGACTCAGAAGAAAGGATATTGTGAATGTTTTAAGCCATTTTCCTAAGGAGTATGATAGCTGACATTCTTGGTAGTTCTTCTCATTTTGAGAGTACATTGCACTGATGGCATCAAAGACAGCCATTAATGAATATGTACAAATAATATAAAAATTAAACTACTGTATTTACAATGCAAAATGATTTGTCATATAAATCCTGTCCGGATTTTCAATTATAAAGTCTCAAGACTTAATTTCTTCATGTCCTTATGGGTTTTTTCCAGGCACTCCAGCTTCCTGCCACATCCCAAAGGTGTCCACGTTAGGTTAACAGGCATGTCTACATTGTCCCAGTCTGAGGGAGTGTGAGAGTGTGTGAGAGACTACTCCTGCAATTGAATGACATCCTGTCCAGGGCTGGTGCCTGCCTTGCATCCTAACCTTCTGGCACAGCCTCCAGCCATCCAAGAAGCTGAACTGGAATACATCAGTTGGAAAATGAATGAAGGAATGAATACAAATAATTGTAAAATAAAAATGTGTACAGTCCATGATAATCACACAGATGCGCAACCATTAACAATGTGGGATGAAAGCACCTGGTGAGCCCACCGGATTTGTTATTGTTTTTTAACTTCCTGGTGGGGGGAAGTGCTTCTTACGAATTTCACTTTGTAAACATTTATTCCCTGATTTCACCCACTACCGCTACAACCACTATCACTCACTGTTTTACAAAAAATTGGGCAAGTCATTATCTTATTTGTTTTTATTAATCTTTCTTTACTGTATGTACAGCTCACATTTATTTCCATGTTTAGTATTAGAAATATTTTGGCCTTTATGGAGAAGTTTGGTAATGTTTTTGTGAACAGAAATATGCCATAGGAATTTAAGTCTTGATTTTCTCAATTAGCCTATGGTAAAATTGGTTTCATGATACATTGTTTCATTTACAGTTGCAGTTTCCAAGAACCTACTGACAATGTTAAGTGAGGACTTACTATGCAGAAATAAACAGTACCAAAAACAATGCTGCTGCAGCCAAGCTCTTAGAGAAAACATATAAGAAAAATAATGCGTCTTTAAAGGCACTTTTGAGGAGTCTCAGTTTCAACTAAGAGTATGATTGCTCTGATATCTTCTCAGAAAAGTGTCTTGAAGGCACAGGATCCCACTAAAGGAGAACCTTTGATGGGTATCAGGTGCTGAGTCTGCAAACACTCTCTGACCCACAGTGATTATAAATATCCAGTATAAGCCAGACATGCTTAATTTCAGGGTACGATGAAAGAAAATAACCAAAGTAAATATTTGAAAAGCAAATTCAACTTTTCAGTTTAAATTTTAAAAATGTTATTCAAAGACATTTATAAAGAGAGAGTGACATAATTAAGGAAAGCAAAATGCAAATAACATGTTACTGACCTTCTCCATGTCCCAGGACTTCCTGCCCACAGTGCAGAAATAGAAGGCAGAGGACAGAAGTCTAAGGTAGAGGTGAACAAGGCATTATGCCAGAACTCTCTGAGGAATATGAGCTCCATCTGATCTGTGCTTCCTTGGATGAAAAGGCTGCCACTGTAACCAGGTCTCCTTAGTCACCTCTCTGCTTTCCTAATGAGAATCATTTCCATAGTTCCTAATAGTTTCTATCACGATGCTTTTCTAAAATCCCACTCTTATATATCTTTACAGGGGCAATTGCCAAATTGCCCCACATTGCTCTTATCAATTCATAATCCATCTATGGAATGAGACCATGCCATATTGACTTCTCAGCAAAGTGGCAGCTGCTGAGCACAACTGCATCAGGATCACCTGGGGGTGGGAAGAATGTGTTCACATTAGGAATGAGCATCCCAGGCTGTACCACAGACCTACTCAATCAGACCAGCATTTCAACAACCATGCTTATTGACTTGTTTGCTCACTCAAGTCTGAAGATGATTCTGTGAGAGGCAGTCTAGAGCCATGTTTAAAAAAAAAAAAAACACTGTGAAGCCAAGGGTGAGCTCACTGAGAAACAGTTCCCAATCAATTCATAAGGTCTGCAAGGTGGCAGGAGTGGGAGAATCAGGGTAGATGGATATTTAAGACACCAATCTTTCCTTCTCCTCCCCTCCTCATTCCCAGACTGCCTAGAGAACTCCTACTCATCCTTCATAACTCTTTCTAGAAGAGACTTCTTCAACCCACAAGCCAAGGCCTCCCTCCTTGTGTCAAGGCACTATCTAGATCTAGTACTCACTATCACAGTTTTCTAGAATGTCTTTCAGTGAAGCCAGGGACTTTTTCTTGTTCATTTTGTTCTCCTCACAACTAGTTTTTTGCCTAGTACATAACTAGAAGTCAATAAATCCTTATCAAATTAATACATGATTGAGAAAACAAAAACAAAGGATAGAGCAAATACAGAACCAGTTACTAAGAAGGACAAGACAGCAAAACCCAGCCTCCTACTCTCCACCATGCTGTCTCCCATAAAGATCTCAGGTCTTCCAAGGGTAAGGAAAAAAAAGCTGATAAATGAGGACTGGTGGCCAGCAACCTCCTCACTGCAGCCAGGCTTTATATCTAGGCCATAAACACCTCCTTGCTCACAGGAGCTAGACCCTGTGATCAGCAAACAGCTGCAACAACAGCAGCGTGTGGCCTGCCCAGCTTGTTTAGGTGGTGTGTGTTTGTTAGAAAAACTTGCTCTGTGGTGTTTCTTTATAACGACTACTTGGAGAAATGATGTTATTTTTAGGGGGTGGGGAATATCAAAGAGGCTTATTTGGCAAAAGCCACAATCTGCTCACTTCCACTTTGTGTGAGTATGTGAAAATCCTCACTCTAGTAGCCAGGAGTTTTCAAATCCACTGGGAAGAGACTCCAAAAACAGGTTGGTGGCAGGAAAACACAACCCTAGGATGACAAGTGTGCAAATTAACACTGAAACCATGCAAATGACCAGTGCTGACAGATGAAAACACTGAGGTCAGCTATATGTAAGGATTAAGAAAATTCTAAATAGGGAAGCATTCTGCCCACAAATGTCATTATGAGAGGACATTAACACCAGTCTTTTATGGTTCTCAAAGCCCAGTATATTGGTGTTGGGGGTGTAGTTGTCTGCAGTGTTCAAAGGACAGTGGCACTGAAAACTTAGGACTCAGAGCCGCTCTCCTCTTAACTCTTAAAGCTCTCAGATAATCAACTAGTAGAGTCAAAATAAACTAATTGCGGACTACTAATGCACATGGCAAAAACTCAACGGATATGCTAGTCAACAAATTCTTCATCTGCTGTTCTGTCAAGATGATAATGAAACATCAGACAATCTGTGAGAACATGATGCCAAGAGGAAGAAATACAAATTGGGCTCCTATATTCCTTATGAAAATTAGAAGATTCTAAACTAATCAATTAGCTTTACATCCCCCACCACCTCCCCCAATCTCTGCATAATCATTTCACTTCATGAAATTTCTTAGGAATCCACTTACTATTCTGTGATCATAGACAGCAAATGAAAATTAAGTTCTCTGTAGAACAGGAGAAACTTTGCATTGTAATGTAAAACGAGCTGATTAAGGGCACTTAATCCAAGAACAGCTAATTCTTAAGACCTCAAAGCAGAGTGGATTAAACATAAGGAAGGACGTATGCAGCCCGCTTCTGATCACACAGAAGAATGGATTCTGAGACTTGACAGGCTGCCTTATTAACAATTACAGTAACTAGGACTGTTCTTTTCAAAAGAATGCCTTGCAAGTTAGAATAAATACCCCATCTTTGGATATCTGAGGTAGAAAGAATACCCCTTCTTTTAGAAAATAAGTTACTCTGGGCTTTGGGAGCATCCTGAAAGAAGAGAGGAAGCTCAAGGAGAATGGTTTATCTTTCTGAATGGTTTGTCTTTCTAATTTCATCTCACTCAACTCCTTACATATTGGAAGGTGATTGCAAACTCTGGTATGTTAGGAATAAATTTCTATTAAAAAGCAATAAACACCCTCCACTGACCAAACTCTTAGAAAAGGATTACAGAACCACTTTCCACTTTGAAAAATTCCTGAGGTCGCCCCTAAGAACTTTTGTTTATGTGGGTTACATCTATTTATATTCATCAAATTAGAACACTTAAAACTAAGACATTTTAAAAATAAGAATATCCAAGCACACATGTTAATTAGTGATGATGCCATTATGTGTCATGTAACCAATGGAAAACTCCATTGCACACTTGTCAGAGGAGAAGAGTGAAAAAGGCGAACAAAGATCTTAGTATCATTTTGAAAATATTTGGGACCTCCCAGGGGTCCCCAGATCACACTCTGAGAACCACTGGACTAGAGTCATGTCTGGTTGACACAGAAGTGTGTTAGAGTTCTAGAGATGTAACTCTTTCAAGAACTACTTCTGTCATAAAAAGAAACATTCTGTTTATTACATGTCAGTAAAAAGTTTTTTTTTAAATAATAGATGCCAGCACTATAAGAACTTTAATAAGTATATGTAAAGCTTTCTGGTAGCTGGCAGGAAAACTGGCTCTTTAATCTTTTACAGTTCACCACATTTGTTTTACAGCCTCTGCAAGTACAGATGAGTCACTGCTTCTACACCGAGCTGTGCAGTGTTTCTACCAAGGGCCAGGCCTGTCTGGGTAAATCCATTCCCTTCAGCAAACACTGCAGGCAGGCAAGTCACCTTAAGAAGCAGTTTAACTCAGTGGTTAAGGGCCCAGGCTCTGGATTTAGACTTCCTGGGTTCAAATCCTGGCTTGTGTTCTTGCCAAATGACCTTGGGTGAGTTCTTAATCTTCCTCCAAGTATAAAAAGGGACAATAACAATATTTACCTGGTAGGATCTTCACAGGAAACCTATGAAGGCTTACATTTCTAGGACATAGTAGTATTCAATAAATGCCAGTTATCATTATACCTTCTTTTACGATATACAAAGCATCCCAAAAGTCTCAATACAGTTTTATGCTGAAATTTCAGAACTATAAGCATTACAAACTTACCTAAAATACCATTCATGTAGATCTATAAATTTTAAGTAATAAAATTTTTATTTTTTGTTTCAGTCCTGCTGATTCAAAGTGGCTACTGCTGACTGAAACAAAAATTACATTATTAATCTTATGGGGGTGTGGGGAATAATTGTACACACAACTGTTAGACAAAGAAGATATTTTACCATTAAGACTTAATTCGATAGACATTGCTGTGGTCTGAGTATGTCTCCCCAAAATTCATGTGTTGGAAACTAAATCCTCAATGCAACAGTGTTGGGTGGTGGGTCCTTTTCAGAGGTGCTTAGGTCAGGAGGGCTCAGCCTTTATATGTGGATTAATATCATTATAAATGGTTTCACAGACAGAGTTTGGTCCCTTTTGCCTTCTGCCTTCCACCATGTGAGGACACAGCATTCCTCTCCTCTGGAGGACACAGAAACAAGGCACCATCTTGGAAGTGGAGATCAGCCCTTACCAGACAACAAACCTGTCAGCAACTTGATCTTTGACTTCTTAGCCTCCAGAACTGCAAGCAAGCAAGCAAACAAACAAACTAACAAAAAACTCTGTTCTTTATAAATTACCCAGTCTTGGGTATTTTGTTTCAACAACAGACAGTGGACTAAGACAGACATTTACTGAGCACCTACTATGTGCCATGCTTGTGCTAGGTACCAGGAAGATAAAAGGAAACAAGACAAGATGATTAACCAATGGAGGTTTACAAAGCCAGCAGGGGAAAGTGTGGAAACACATTGATATAGAATGTGTTCTGCTGTATTACTCAGGTCCTGGTATGCTCAGCATGCTGGGGTTTCAGGTAATGGGTGATATTCCCAGGATACAGCCTAAAGGAAAAGGAATAGTGTTCCCCTCACTGACATCTGGAAGACATTTTCCCTCTTTGTGATGTGAATTTTTCCTTCACTTGTCATTAATTCTGTTCACCTTCAAGAAGCCCATCTATCTATAGCTTTGCCTTTGCAGTATCTTTTCTATAGTAGATCTTTATTGAGCTTTTCCATCTTTGTAAATTGTAAATTGTCCTTTCAACATGCATAATGACACACTCTATTTACATATCATAGCAACAGCCTCTTATTTAGATGTCAAATTCCAGCAACTAAAAACTCAGATCCACAAAACATCAAGAAGCCAAATAATTCTCAAAACCATGATACTTTCAATAAACTTCAGTCCCCTTTGTGCAGTCCTTCAGGCCATATAGCTGTTCTTTTTAAATACACATTTATAATGAGTCTGCTCATCTGTTTTTCTAGCAGATTAGAAGTACAAAAATCAGGGGAGGCATTTGAAAACATGGTGCTCAGCTTGATGAATTCCCTAAAAGTTACAACCCAGCACTAGTAGATTTTCCTCCCTTTCCCTTTCCCTTTCCCTTTCCCTTTCCCTTTCCCTTTCCCTTTCCCTTTCCCTTTCCCTTTCCCTCCCCTCCCCTCCCCTCCCCTCTCCTTTCCTTTCCTTTTCTTTTCTTTCTAACAGGGTCTCACTCTGTCACCAGGCTGGAGTGCAGTGATGCCATCACAGATCACTGCGGCCTTCATCTCCCAGGCTCAGGTGATTCCCCCTCTCTAGCCTCCTGAGTAGCTGGGACCACAGGTGTGCACCACCACATCCAGCTGTTTTTTTTGTTTTGTTTTGTTTTTTTGTATTTATTGTAGAGATGAGGTTTCGCCATGTTGCTTCGGCTAGTCTTGAACCCTTGGGCTCAGACAATCCACTTTCCTTAGCATCACAAAGTGCTGGAATTACAGGTATGAGCCACTGTGCCTAGCCACTGCTGTGTTTTCTGAAGGAAATTAGTTTTAACAAAACCAGAAAGGACTAAGTAATATCCACAAAGTATATCAGACACCTAAACTCTTACATGAAGAGTTACATGACCTAGTGAAAAACTATTTTTAATTTTCTCCTATCTCAAAACATTGAAAATTACAAATCCTAGCACTTTAGGAGGCTGAAGCAGTAGCTTCTCCTTTAAACATTTAAAATTTAGTCAGATACGGACGTGTGTGCCTGTATCCCAGCTGCTTGGGAGGCTTAGGTGGGGGCATTGCTTAAGCTCAAGGGTTCAAGGCTACAGTGAGCTGTGATTGTGCCACTGCACTCAGTCTGGGTGACAGAGCGACACCCTGTTTCTAAAATAATAATAAGTAAATAAATAAATGTTTAAAATGAAACTCAACTCTACATTAAAAATTTTTAATTTTTCTTAAAAATTCTAGTCCATGTGCAAAACTCACTGGCTTTAAATAAGCTGTCACTTATATCTAGTCAATATCATTATGCTATAGAAAAAAAGTTGAAAAAGGAACATATAGAATTATTATCCATTGTTGTTTATTTAAATGCTAGAAAAAAAACTCTAAGATTTATGTACAATAAGTTTTGAGAGAAGTTTATCATTTTTGGTTCCTGTAACTTTTAGTTATTTGACATTTGTAAACTAAACTAGAAAACTAAGAAAATTAAATGTGATAACTGAAGCCAAGGCATTTTTAAGAACATGAATTTTCCATATTATTGACTTATTTCAACACTTTGAGTGGACATAGCTTTATTGCAAATTTTTATGAATTTTAGAGTTGATTCAGAAATTACAATGTAAGTATTATGTGAAATCAGATAATAAGGTAATATGTAAAATATGCCTGGTGGAAGGAGTAAATTGTGTGGATTATTCTGGCCCTGCAAAATACAGAAGTGTCTCAATTTCTCTTTTTCCACTGTGATTTTTATCTGTTGTGTTATTTTGATATTTGTACATTTATTGGGAGCTGGCAGGGTGAGTTGCACATTGGTAGCATTTATATTAACTAAATTTTGTTTTCATTTTAGAAACAAATTTCTCCTCTCTTCATTTTTTCTGCTGCCCAAGCCCAGCAGGCTTATAAATAAATACACAGCCCACAGGGAAGACTTGAGGAGGTTCAAGTAGACATTTCATTTGAATTTCCTGAGCCTGGTTTTATCTTAACAGCCCTATACTCTTTGGACCACATCTGGGCAAGCGAAGTGAAGTGGGAGATAAAATAATTGGATCAATGATGTCAACAATGAATGCTGCTGTCCCAAACCAAAACCACACATTTCAGACAGAGGCTAGGTGGGGAATATATATATATATATATATGTGTGTGTGTGCATGTGTGTGTGTGTGTGTGTGTGTGTGTACCTAAATCTTCTCATTTTCTCCTTTTTTGTTAAGGGTAGAAATATCATGTAAGAGGCCTGTTACACATACAATTAATGTGAGAGACACATGAGCAGATGTCACTTGAGCCTCATTTTCCATGCAAAAATTCAGGATTTATGGTCTAAAACCATAGAGGATATTTTAAAGCCAGATGATTCCAGAAAATCTGAGACATGTGTCCATCAGCTGTGATGTGGCCCACTCTCTCCCACCTACCCACCGCAGAATTTCTTGCCCTTCATAATGTAATCTCCCTACTTGAGGCTAGCCAGACTTCTTCAACAAACGGCAGACAAAGCAGGCTTGGTCCCAATGTAAAATGGAGTCTCAGAATGCACTACTCAGCCATTTTGGAGAGTGAATTGAAAAGGCCATGCCACAGACACCCTTGGGCAGCACAGCTTCTGTGACAATATGGGCCAGTGCCAGGAATAGGAAGGATCAAGTTAAATGTTTGTGATCCAATAACAAAACTACAACATGGGCCCCTTTAAGTAAGACTTAGGTAGAAGCTAATAAACTGAATCTAATTTTCTGTTGACCATCTTTGACAAGGAATAAGCTCTGCTATAATAAGTTTCCTAGGCAATTCAAATATAGACATTACAGTGGAGCTTAATTAAAAATAAAAATAAAAAAACTTTTCACAAAGGAGTCTGTCTCCTCAAATAGACTCTGAGGTGGTTTAAGTTGGAAGCACATAGTTCTTTAAAACTCTTACATGAATAATCAAGAATAATCATACATTAAAAATACTTTTTATAATTCCATTTTTAATTAAAATATATGCACATACATAAATACACACACATATATGTATGAATTTTCCGCTAGGAAACCCACACCAAGAACTTAGGGTTTGTCTGTAACAACTGAACACACTATCACACTACAACCCAATGGCCTGGCCACAGACAATAGTAGATGCTTCAAGGGAAAGAATAGAGCCCTTTCAGCCAATTATACAATTACATGATATGACCATGTTCACATTATCAAAGGGAGGTAGACCAAATGACCTAGCTACTTCAAATCAATAACCCCATTTACCTCAATTATATGGTAGACAGAGTCCAAATAATCTGAGTAATTATTTCAATTCATTCAGATGCTGTAGTTTTGGCCTGTGTGTGCACAACTAATTTTTCCTTCTGGTATACACACCCTTAAACCATCAGCAAATACCAAAATGCACAACAGCAAACTCCTATCAGTTTTATCTATTAGCAGTGTAAACAAATTCTCTCCACTATCTGGCAGATTAAAATTTGTTATACTCTTAATAATCCAGGTTGAGATTTTCTTTTGTGACAACAACTCACTGGACCATGGAACTTTAGAGCTAGGAAGTACCATCCAGGGCCAACAGTCTAAAAGCCAGCTCCTGGAAGCAGTCCAACCAGAAATCCAGCCTGCTCACTCATAGCACGTAAGGCAAGGAGGTCTGAAGCTCAGATGCTTGGGTTCCAATCCTGGCTCTGCCACTTACTAGTTGAGCGACCTTGGCAAGTCCCTAAACCTCACCAAGCCTCACAGCCCTCTTCTGTACAACTGTGGTAATAAGGGAATCTGATTTATAGAGACAGTACAAGGATTAAATGAGACAATTAACAGAATGAACTTAGCATGCTTCTTGGCACATAACTACTGTTGTTAAGTCCTTACTATTATTATTTTAACAGCAGCATCACCTTTAATAGGTTCCCCCAAAGGATGTGTCCATGTCCTAATCCCTAGATCCTGTGAATATTACCTTATATAACAAAGGATGTGATTAAGTTAAAGACCTTGGGAAGAGGTGCTTATCCTGTTTTATACAAGTGGTCCCTAAATGCAGTCACAGGGATCCTTATAACAGAGAGGCACAGAGAGTTTTGAGACAGACACACAGGAGACGACATAGGCATATGGAGCAGAAGGTGATATGAAGACAGAGCAGAGAGCTGAGGCTATGAGCCAATGAATGCAGATGGTTATCAGATGCTGGAAGAAGCAAGGAATATATTTTCCCTTTAGAGCCTCGAGATGGGGTGAGACTGTGTTGACACCTTGATTTCAGACTTCTGGCCTCAAATGCTCCCAAAGACTACATATCTATTGCTTTAAACCACCACATGTGTGATATTTGTTACAGACAGCAGCCTCAGGAAATGAATATACTACCTCAATGGGTGAAGCTCTTGTTTGACCTTTAAACTGCAACTTGCAGATGTTAACAGTAACATGATAAGGCCAAAGATAAAGGTGACTAAAAAACGAGAAACACCAAGGTCTGGTGTTATGAATTGAGCTTAACAAAAGTAAAGAAGCAGAAGAATGCAAGAGACAGCGAGCAAAGAGTTACGGTTGAAGTATACACAAGGGTTCAGGGAAGGAAACCCAAGAAGCATGAAGCTAGAGCCTCACACTGTAATGGGTCTTATCCACTAGAGACAGAAATCTACAATGCCAGTGCATTGTTTGTTTCTGAATAACATGTTTACCCATTCACTACTCTGTGCATTTTCTTTTTCTTTTATTTATTATGCTTGGAGTATGTACAACTTCTTGAATCTATGGGTTGATCTCTCTTACAAATCTGGGGAAATTCTTAGCCTAAAACATTGCTTTTGTCTCACTCCCTCCCACTCTGCTCCTTCTGAGACTCCAATTACACATATTTTAGACTTTTCATTGTGTCCCACTTGTCTCTTATGCTTTTTCTATATGTTCAATTTTTCTCTCTGTGCACTTCAGCATAAATCATTTCTATTAACCTTTCTTCCAGGTCACTATGCTTGTTTCCTGCTTATATGATCTGTTAAAACCGTATCCATTGAGTTCTTAATTGCAGATATATTTTCCAAGTAATAGAAAGCCTATTTGATTAACTATAGATTCCAATTCTCTGTTTAAATTTTTCATATTTTCATCTAATTCCTCCATTAAAAATTTATTTTCTTGAACATATTAATTCATTATTTTAAAATCCCCCTTTTTTTTGCTAAATTTAATTCTATTCACTCTGGATCATCTGTGGATCTGTTTCTATCATTTGTTTTTCTCTCATTTTTGGGGGATGGTCACATTGACACACTGAGTAATTTTTTTTTTATTGAATACCAGACATCATGTATTTCTAATCATGTATTAGAAAGTTGAAAAGATTTTGATGAAGTTTTCTTCCTCAAAAGTTTGCTCTCCTTTCTTCTGCCAGGAAGATAGAGTTGGGGATGGGGGTGCTGGCTAATGATCTAAACCAATCAGGAACTCTTACAAGACTCAGGCTGCTCCTAGCTTATGTCCTTGGCTAGGACTTAGCTGTCCTGGCCTTCATTGAGAGCCTGGTGTGTCTGTGATGACCCCACCCCTTGCAACCTCCAAAAGCAAGTCCTAAACTGTAATCCTTATTTTCTCAGCACCAGAAGATTACTGAACACCACTTCTGCTTTCCAGAGGGATTCTGGTTATCTTTTGAACTTCTCATCCCATGCAGTCCAGAATTGGGCAACTGTCTTGAAGGGAAAGCCAACTGTGAATTTCAGGTTCCTCGAGTCTCCAATTTTGTCTCTCAACCCCAGTCCCAAGAGAATACTAGGTTTATTTTTCTCAGAGCTGCAACACTCCATCTAAACAAAGCCCAGGTCCACATTATTTTGTCACCACCCAGAATTAGAAATCCCCCATAAATAAAGTAGCTACAGACCATCAGCTCATCTCTCCTCAGCTCTCTTCTTTTTGATATTTTAGCCCCCCTACTCCTCATGTTCCAACATGTCTTTAAACAGAATGGTGCTTTCTGTATTTTATATGGTACTTCTTGGGATCGTTAGTTTGCCTCAGACTACCCAATCCTAGCTAGAAACAAATCTCTGCTTTATATTTTTCAAAGTGCTTTCATTGTCATAATTAATTTCTGCCATATAAACTGATAAGAAAAAGATGGCAGGGCCAGGCACAGTGGCTCATGCCTGTAATCCTAGTACTTTGGGAGGCCAAGGCAGGTGGATCACGAGGTAAGGAGATGGAGACCATCCTGGCTAACATGGTAAAACCCCATCTCTACTAAAAATACAAAGAAATTAGCCAGATATGGTGGCAGACACCTGTAGTACCAGCTACTTGGGAGGCTGAGGCAGGAGAATGGAGTGAACTTGGGAGGTGGAGCTTGTAGTGAGATGAGATCGTGCCTCTGCACTCCAGCCTGGGCAATGCAGCAAGACTCTGTCTCAAGAAAAAAAAAAGCAATATGTTTTACTCTGATCTTTTAGAACACAGTTTGTCAGCATTGGACAAACTATGGGCCACAGGCCAAGTCCAGCCCAGTGCCTGGTTTTGTAAATAAAGTTTTATTGGAATATAGCCATGCCCACTATATTGTGCATATTGTCCATGGCTGCTTTGGCACTACAAAAGCTTTTGCAGATTTGAGTAGTTATAACAGAGACCACATCACCAGCAAAGCCCAAAATATTCACCATCTTTCCCTTTACAGAAAGTTTGTCAGCCCCTGCTTCATTTGAAGGAAACTGAAGCTCAGACACATTCAGTGACTGACAAGTTAACTTTGGAGAGAAGACTGTGTGTCAGTCCCCACGATTCTTATTCCAGCCATCTCCCCACTCTTCTAATTTGCTTCCCATCACAATGATTCATTACAATAAAACAACAAGGAGAGAGACAGAGCGGAATGAATTTGAAGCAGACAGTCCCAGTAAGGAAAAGGGAGGTCTCTCAGTGAACACAATTAAGGGTCTTTCTCTTTTTTGAAACACTTGGGGAATTTTGGCAGTCACCTTTGAAATCTGCTAAAACAAATAATGTAAGGCAACTATTCAAGGATGCCACTTCAAGGTTTTAAAAAAAGCCTTAATATTTCATAGGGTTTTTTTGTTGTTGTTGTTCAGAAAATGAACATGTAAGGAAGAACAATGAAAAATATCCTGAAGTATGTGTTCAATTCTTATCCATTCGATTGCTGAGTGCTTTCATCAAGGCCATTCTCTAAGCAGAGGAAAAAAATATTCCCAACAGATGATGGCAGCTAAGAGGGACACACACACACTTACACACACACACACACACACACACACACACACACAACATGCATGATTAAACAAAATAATTTTTAAAAATCCAATACAGTTCCAAACTCAACAATAACTGAAAAGAAAGGCCACTTGTTTCATCTTCCTTTTCCCCCATCTTCTGCTTAGTAGAAGTATATGGTAATTTGCTTCTTTTTAATAATTTGTAAAATCTGATGAGTGGTGAAATTTAGCCATGCCCACATGTCAATAACAGATGTTAAAAATTTCAGAATTATAAGATCACCAAAATAATCACATCCACCAAAAAAACCTGCTGGGGACAGCTCATCTTTTTCTTTTCAACCTACCTTATGCAGAAGGGTGAGCAGGGCATGCCCACATGTTGACAACCCTGGAGCCCCTTTTTCCCAGGGAGGACTTGAGCAGGAAAAGCAAGATGTAGGACAGAGAAAGACTAATTCATAAAGGTAAGGGAGTCATGCCCTTAAAAAAGAAACACAAACTCTTCTAAAAGGTGAGGGAAACACTCATGTGAGGTGGTACCATGCAGAAGAGTCACATTACCTTGAGGCTGGGTCCAGGCATATGTCACAACCTTCCCTTAGGACAAGACCCAGGCAAGAGAGTTTCAACAAATAGGTACATGTTCCACCTTTATGTTGTAATGCTTCATATGGGCAAGGCTCAAGCAGGTAGTCATATCACCTAGGTAACAGGCCCAGATATATGTCACAATATCCTCCTTGAGACATGATTCTGGGGAAACTCTACCACCATCTGTGTGCCTTGCCTAGCAATATGTCACTATCCAGGTAAGCCAGACCCAAGCAGGAGAGCAGAAATACGAACCTGATAGGCCAAGGTATTTGTCACAATCCCCTTTTTTGGACATTACCCTAGAAAAAGAGTACCATCAACAGTGTGCCAGTCCCAGCCATGTGCTACTATCCCCTAGTGTGAGTACAGCCCATTCTAAAGAGGAGATTTGTACAACCTAACTGGTTGATACAGTGATATGTCACAATGACTTCTGTGGGCATGGCTTAGGCAAAAATGTAACATGACCTCCGTGCTGGATCTAGTGATATATCACTCTTCTTACTGAGAGCAGGATCCAGGCAGGAAAGTCACATTACCTAGAGGTTGGCCAAGGTAGATATAACAGTAACATATGTGGGCTGGAACCAGTCTGGAGAGTCAGATCACACAGGTGTTTGGCAGAGATTTATATCACAATCACACTGGCAAAAAATTCCCTGGATGAGATTTACAATACCACACATGTCCTTTTATCATGAGCAACAGTTGGCTTCATATATGTAAGACAGTGACAGCGCTTACTGTCATCTGGTGTGAATATGAGATAATTTCACCTTTCTGCTGGGTTCTGCTATGACACTCTCTGTCCAAGCCAAGTGCTACATAAAATATCTGAGGCTGTTATAATCTTCTTTGAGCTTTTTTTACCAGAAAGATATTTAATCACTCCTTTTTCTAAAACAAGTTATAAGAGTCAAAATTACACCTATTTGTGGGATGCACATGTAAGAGTCATTATCATGCCTGTGAACTGTGCCTATATATGTAAGAATTTACTCTGTGTTGATGAAATAGACATGACAGTGAAGTAACCTAAATTCTGAGAGAGAAATGTGCCAATATTCTCCTTGTAGGTATGTTCCTGGCAGAAAAGTTGCATAACTTGGGGGTTAAAGACAGGAATATGGCACAATGCCCATTGTGGGCAGTGTCCAGACAGAAGAAGAGACTCATATCACCTAAATGACAAACCCAGAATATGTCACAATGTATCCTGTTGAAAGGACCAGGTAAGAGAGTCACATCATTTAGATGCAGTGCTTAGGAATGTGACAATCCCCATTGGAAGGAGGGTCAGGGCAGGAGAGGACAGTCAGGTAACTAGATCATGGGTCCAGAGACATGCAACAATCCTTCCTGAGGTTATTGTTAAGACAGGAGTGTCAAATCACTGTGGTGATCAGCTATGATATACGTCCAAATCTCATTTGTGGACTATACCTAAGCAGGATTATTAAATAACTCAGGAGATGGGCAAAGGTATATGTTACAATAATACAGGGTGAAAATTACAGGAATGGGAGTCACCGTCTTGCATATGACATGTCTCCAGGTTTAAGAGTCATAATTAGTCCTCATATCTGGTCTCAGTTATATGGCACAGTATTACTTGTGGGCAGAGGGCAAGCAGGAAGGTGACTTTACCTAGGTGGGTGCTGGTCCAGTAAGATGTCACAATCCTTCTTGTGGGCAGGACAATGGAAGAAGAGTCAAATCACCAGGATGCCGATTTTAGTGATTTATCAAGATTCCCCCTGTTAACAGGGATTAGGAAGGTGAGAAGACTCATGTTACTTTTGCAATTGGCCTAGATATGTGTCTCAATGGCTGCTATGTGCTAAACCAAGGTATGAAAGTTGCCTCACCTTGGCCATGGGTTTAGCAATATGTCACAATCTCCTCTGTGGTCAGGGCAAGACATGAGAGAAAAAATATTTAGATTCTGAGACAAGTGTTTCTGTTGGCAGAGCCCAAAAAAGAGAGTCACATCACCTGCTTGCGGTGCCCAGTTATGTGTCATAATGCATGATAAGTGCAGGGCCAAAGCAGTAGAAGGGAGTCACATCACTTACACAATGGACCTGGATATAAGCCACATATATCTAGATATATTGCCTTTTATAGGCAAGAATCAGGCAAAGAATTCACATCACCTGGGAGCTGATCCCAGTGATACTTAAAAGTGCCCTTTATAGGCCTGCCCAGACATCTTCACTTAGGTGTATGATCCATGTATATCACAATTTCATCACTAGTCATAACCTAAAAAGGAAAGTCAAGTTATTCAGGAGCTGTGCTACCTTTTTGTCCTAATCACACACTAGACAATATTCAGAAGTAAGATTCATAGTCCTGCAGAAGTCCTGGCTTCTTGCATGTGAGTCAACACCTCCTGTGAGTTAGGTTAAAGCAGAGAAGTCACAATCTCAACAATAACAATGGGTAACATCCATGTATAAGATGCCCAATCTCACTTGAAGATTGTGTTCCACTAGAGGAGTCACATCGTCACAGGTGTGTAGAATCATGCATCAGCAAATGACACATGAATAAGATCCATGTATGAGGGGAACATTTGCAACCTTTGACTGCTTTTATGTGTGAGATTTAGTAACTTAATTTTAGGCCCTGTTCTTGTGAGAGAATGAAAATTGGATCAGCTTGGTGTGCATCCAAGAGTCACAAACGCACCTGGTTGCTTTTCCCTGTTATGACACTCTTTGTACCACTCAGGCTTTACATAATATGCCTGAGTGTCATAATCTTCTGTGAACTTTATACAATTAGGAGACCCATTACTTTACTTATTGCCATGACTGGCTTTGAGAGTCAAAATAGCTCTAATTTCTGAGTCCAGTTATGATGGTTATATTTCTGCATGTGAGCTGAAACCAAGTATATGTCACAAGTTCAACTGTTGGCAGAACCAAGGCAGAAGAGTTTCATTGCCTGGATTCTGAGCTCAGGATATATTACAATCTCCTCTGCAGGCAGGGCCAAGTCAGAAGAGTCACATAACCTGGATACAGACACAAGTAATATGGCACCATGTCCACTCTAACAGGATTGAGGAAAGAGAGAAGAGTCGCAACACATAGGTGTTTGGCTCAGCAATATGTAGTAAACCTCTCTTTTGACAGAATAAAGAGGAGAGTTTCCTTACCTAGGTTTTGAACTCAGCGGTATGACAGAATTTGTTTAGTGGGTAGGATCTTTGCAGAAGAGCCACATTTCTTAGATGCTACTTGCAACAATGTCACAATATTCCTTGAGAGAAAAGTGCAGGCAAAGTAGACAAATTACCTCTGACAGGCTCAGAGATATGTGACAATATCCCTTGTTTGCAGAGCTCAGGGAGAATGGTCATATTATTATGATTCTAACCCAGTAATTTGTCAAAAATGCATGCTTTGAAAACAATGTAACCAAAAGTTTTAGCACATGGGTACTAAGCCCAGTGATATGACACAATATTCTCATTTTTGAGGGTGACATCTTTAACTGCTAGCTTGGTATGCACATGAGTCACAATGCCACGTGTGTGTGCTGGGCCATTGTATGACACCCTCTACCACATCCAAGTGTTTTACACAGTAGGAAATGCTCTTTACTACCCAGGAGTTTATATTATATAAACTAGTGTTCTAAACTTCTGTGAGCTTTGTAGAGACATGCAATCCAGGATTTTACCTACTCCTCTAAACCTAGTAAAGAGAGCCAAAATATCTTTTATTGGCTGAATCCCAATATAAGTTTCACCACCATGCCTGTGAATTGAAGCAAGTTATAAGTCATCTTCCTGTTTGTTGGCCAAAAAAAGAGGGGCAGGGAGAGTAACATCACTTAGGTGATGTGGCCAGCAACATGTCACAATGCTCTCTCTAGGCAGAACCTAGGAAGGAGTGTCACATTAACTGGTTGCTGAGCTCAGCAATATGACACAACTACACATGTAAAAATTTAGTGAAGGGATGAGAGCCAAAACACCTACAGAATGGGCCAAAGGTATGTCAAAATACCCACTGAGGCTCTGGCACAAGCAGAACAGTAGCATCATGAAGGTGCCAGAGACACCAGTATGCAATAATTTTCCCTTTATTTAGGAAAATGGCAGAAAAGTAATATCATTTGAGTGCAATAGGTCAAAATTTCTCTTTGTGGGTATGGTTCAGAAAAAAATTGTATAGTTCCAGGACCTAAACACTGGGGTCAGCAATATTTCACCATCCCACCTTTTCAAAGGCCCAGACAGAAAAAGAAGAGAGTCATATCATATAGGTCATGAGCTCTAAGATATGTCCCAATGTTCCCAGTATGAAGGGATAAGGCAGACATTGATAACATATCACCTAGGTAGCTCCCTAGAAATATGTCACAGTGTAACATTTGGCAGGAGAGTAAGCTCACCTTGGTGCTGGCTTCAGCAATATGTGACATACCACTCAGTGGTATGTCACAATTTTTTCAGTGAGCAGGATCCAGACAGGACAGGAGAGTCACATTACCTAGATGCTATATCTTTCAATATGTCACAGTGTACCCTGTTGGCAGGGCACTGGCAGAAAAGACATATCATCTAGTTAAAAGGCCTGAAGATATGTGAAAATATCCCCTATTTGCAGGGTCCAGGCAGAAGAGTCACACTGCACGATTCTGACCCATTGATAGGTAACGATGCTTTTATGGAAAGGAACTTAAACCAGAAAGTTTCAACACCAGGGTAGTAGGCCAAGGGAATTGACACAAGCTCCTCATCTTTAAAGGTGACACCATTAACTCTTAGCTATGGTATATATGACAGTCACAATCTAACATGTGTCCTGGTTATAATATGAAACTCCCTACCACATCTGAAAATTTTGTATGAGATGCATAAGTGTTGCAAACCTCTCTGAGGCCTACATGCATATATGTACTCACGATCTTACATATTACCCTAAACACAGACATGACAACCGACATTTCTCCTATAGGTTTGCTTTAGAAATGAGACAATGATTATGCCTGTGATATGGTTCTGGAAATGGGTCACCTTCCCATCTGTGGCCAGATTCACTTGTGAAATTTACAATTCCAAGTTTATTCTTTATTTACCTGATAGACTCATGACCTTAACAATGGGCTTTGTAAATGTAGGATGGTAACAATATTTACTTTCACCTGCATATGTAGTCAAGAGTCAATCTTAAATTTTTCCTGGGCCCTGTAATAAAATTCCCTGTACCGCCCACAATATTTTATGATATGAGTTAATATTGTAAACTTCTGTGATCTCTGTACAAATATGAAATGAAGGACATTACCTTTTGATGTAAACAAAGTGGTGACAGGTGAAATATCTCCTATTCACTGTATCCCAATATAAGCTTGATCAGCATGCTTTGATCCGAAACTAGGTACATGTCATAATCCCATTTGTGAGCAAAAAACCAAAGAGAATGTTAACATCACTTTTGAGTTAGTCCAAACAATATATCACAATACCTCCTTTAGGCAGGGCCTAGCAAAGAGCATCACATAAAGCAAGGGCTGCAGCCAACAATATGATACAACCACATGTGGAAGAAACCCAGGGAAATGATGAGAGCCAAAACACGTACAGAATGGGCCAAAGATATGTCAATATACCTTCTGTGGCTCTGGTACAGGCAGGAGAGTCACATGATTATGGTGCTGGCCCGAGAAATATGCCATAATTTTCTCTTTATGCATGAGGTAGAAAGAAGAGTAACATCATCCAGGTGCAGGGCCAGGAAATACAGCAAAAGTCCTCTTTGTGCACATTGTTCAGTTACAAGACAAGAGTCACATTACCTAAGTGTTGGGCTCATCAATTTGTCACAATCTTCTCACTGAAAAGTCCCAGGCTGAAATAGGGAGTCACATCACTTGGGTCATAGGCTCAGAAATATGGCCCAATGTCACCAGTAGGCTGGCCTCAGGCAGAAAAAGAGGGTCGTCTTACTTAGGTGCTTCTTTAGGTGTATGTCACAATTTTATATTTTTACAGAAACGAGGATGAATTGCCACATCATCTGGTTCTGAGTTCTGAGATATTCACAAGTCCCCTTAGAAAACAACTCAGGCAAGAGAGTTACATCACCTAGGAGCCCGTTCCACCCTTATGTCACAGTGCTTCATGTGTACAGGACTAAGAAGAAAGTCACATCACCTAGATGATAGACCCAGAGACACGTCACAAAGCCTTCCTGAAAGCATGGCCCTGGCAAAATAGTACAATCACCTTTGTACCTGGTCTAGCAATATGTCATTATTCAAGTGTGCAGGTACCAAGGAGAGGAGCCATACTACCTATGTTATATGCCCTGTGCTATGTCAAAATGCCTTCTTTTCAGCATGGCCCTGGAAGAATGTATCATCTCATATGTGACTGGCCTAGGAAGATGTCACTATCCTGCCATGTGTGCAGGGCCCATTTTAGAGATTAGAGTTATGTCTTCTTCTAAGTCATGGACCCAGTGATATATCACTATGATGTCTGTGAGAATGGGCAGGCAGGAATGTAATGTCACTTGCATTCTAGATCCAGTGATGTCACAATTCTTACTGAGGGCAGAGCCCAGTCAGAAGAGTCATATCTTTTACAGGTTGGCCCAAGTAGATGTCAAAAACCCCTATGGATTAGATTTACAATACCACACATCTCTTGTTTTCATGTAGGAGAGTTGCCTGCATTCATCTGTGATGATGAAAGTCCTTACTGTCAGCCAAGTGTGCATATGAGACTCACAATTTCCTCTGTTTGCTAACCACTATTATGACACTCTCTATTCAACCCAACGGTTTTATAAAACATTTGTCATTGTTATAAACTTTGGTGCCTTTTTTTTTACCAGAAGGTAATCATGGACATCTCTCATGTCCCTAAACCTAGTTTATATGTGGCTGGGTCCACATATATTAGTCATTATCATGTCTGTGAGCTGTGCCTAGGTATGTGTACCATCCTCTCTGTGGTTATTAAACAGGCAGGACAACCACGTTAGCTAAATCCTAAGCCAGAAATATTTCAATATTTTCTTTGCAGGTAGGGCCCTAACAAAAGTCACAAACTTGAGTCTAGGCTCAGGTCTGTGGCATAATCATCCTTGTGGAGATTGTCCTGACAGGAGAGGAGAGTCATATAACCTAAATAATTGGCCCAGAGATATGTCACAATGCCTCCTGTTAAAAAGGCCAGGCAAGAGAGGCATGCCACCTGGATGTCATGCTAAGAAATGCTACACTCTTCACTGAAAGCAGGGTTCAGGCAGCAGAAGAGAGACACATAACATGGAGGATGGGTCCAAATATATGTTATGATCCATTTTGAGGACGTTGATAGGACACAAGAGTCAAATCACCACAGTTCTTGACCCAGGTATATGTCAAAATGTCATCTGTGGGCTATAACTAGAAAAAGGTTATTAAATCACTGTGGAGCTGGGCTAAGGTAAATATCCCAATAACACCTGTGAGAAGGTTAATAGATGAGAGTCAAAATCCTGAGTATGTCCTGGCTCCAGGTACAAGAGTCATTATTATGCCTTTGTTGTGGTCTCAGGTATATGGTAAAATATCACCTGTGGGCAGGGAGAAGTAAGGAAAGTCACATTAACTGAGTGGGTTTCTGGTCCAGAGAAATGTCACAATCCTCCTCGTGGACAGGACTCTGGAGCCAAATTAACTGGATGCTAGTTTCTGTTATATATTGGAATACCTCCTATGGTCAGGGCTTAGACAGGACTGGAGACAATCTTCACCTAGGCAATCGGCCTGGATGTATGTCACAATGGCCCCTGTGTGCAGGACGAAGGCAGGAGAGTAAGCTCACCTTGGTGCTGGCTTCTGCAATATGTCTGATTTAGCAATCTCTGTGCTGGTCAGAGCCGAGGCAAGAGAGAAGAAACATCACCTAGGTGCTGAACCAAGTGATATGTTACAAATCTTCCTATTGGCAGAATATCCCTACCCCAGAAAATAGTCACATCACCCAGGTGCAGTAGCCAGTTATGTCTCACGATGCACCATAAGTGCAGGGCCAGGGAGGTAGAAGGAAGTCACAGCACTTACATGATTGACCTAGATAAAAGCCATGGTGCCTTTTGTAGGCAGGTTTCAGGCCAAGATTTTACATCAGCTGGGTGCTGGTCAAAGTGATATGCAAAAGTTCCCTTTGAAAATTGCCAAAGAAGTTGTTATATATTGTTTAGGTGCTGGTGCACACGTCACAATTTCAACTGTGCTCCGAGTCTAGAAAGCAGAGGCAAAAACTCGGATGCTGGTCAAAGTTATACTTGTCCATCAGACACCCAAAAATATTCAGAAATAAGTTTCACAATCCCACACAAGTCCTGGATTCGGGTATGAGAGTCAACACCTCCTATGGATTGTGTCAAAATACATGAGTCACATTCTTAACAATGCACAGGATCCATGTAAAAACCCCAATCCCACTTGAAGATTGTGTTCCAGCAGAAGAGTGGAAGAACCATGGGTCTGCTGAATCATGGTTGAAATGTCACCAAAGTGTCCATGGATCAGACTCATGTATGAGAGTAACAAAATCAAGCTTATGTTGCTTATGTGTGTGAGATTTAGTACCTCATTCATAGGCTCTGTTCATATGTGAGAATGACAGTCATGTCAGCTTGTTGTGCATCCAACAGTCACAGTAACACCTGGTTACTGGTGCCTGTTATGAGATTCTTTGTGCCACTCAGGCTTTGTAGAGTATGACAGAGTCACATACTTTTCTGTGAATTCTTACAAGTGGGAGATCTAGGACTTTACTCATGACCATAGGACTGGCTATGAGAGTGGAAATATTTCCCTTGGCTGGGCCCATGTATTAGTTATTATTGTGTATATGCGCTGAATCCATGTATATGGCACAATTTCACTTTTGGACAGAGACAATACAGAAGAATCACATCATCTCGTTCTTAGCCAAGGATACTTTGTAATCCCCTTTTTAATCAGGACCCTGTCAGAAGAGTCATATGCCCTGGTTACAGTCTCAAAAAATATGTCATCCTTCCCACAATACACAGGGTTGAAAAATTATAGATAGTCACATTTTCTACTTGCTGGGATCAGCAATATGTTATAATTCCCTGTCTTGGCACAGTCCAGAACAAAGGGAACAGTCACATTGCTTAGCTTTTGCACTCAGTGTTATGTCATAATTTTTTCAGTGGGCAGTATCCTGGACGGAAAGGAGATTCACATTACCTAGGTGCTATATCTAGTGATATGTCACAATGTTACCTGTGGGAAGGGCACTGGCAGGAGAAACACATCACCTAGCTCATAGGCACAGAAATATGTGATTATATTCTTTGTTGTCTGGGTACAAGCAGAAAAGTCAAATTATTATTATTCTGACCCAGCAATATGTAACAAGTCACCTATGGGAAAGAATGCAGGCCAAAAAGCCTCAACACCCAGGTAATAGCACCAGTGATATGACACAAACTCCTCATCTTTGAAGGCGACACCTTTAACTTTTAGCTGAGCATGTATAGTAGAGTCACAATCTCATGTGTGTCCTGGGCCAATGTATGAAACTCTCTACAATATCCAAGGGGTTTGTAAAATCTGCATGAGAGTTACAAATCTTTCAGAGGCCTACAAACTCATATAAAATTACAATCTTATATATTACTCTAAACCCAGGTTTGATAGTAAACATGTCTCCTATAGGCAGGGTTAAGGGAAAAGAGCCATTATTATGCCTATGATCTGGGCCAGTCGTGGTGGCTCACGCCTGAAATCCCAGTACTTTGGGAGGCTGAGGCAGGCAGATCACGATGTCAGGAGATCGAGACCATCCTGGTTAACACCATGAAACCCCATCTCTACTAAAAATACATATAGAAAAAATTAGACGGGTATGGTAGTGGGAGCCTGTAATCCCAGCTACTTGGGAGGCTGAGGCAGGAGAATGGTGTGAACCCAGGAGGCGGAACTTGCAGTGAGCTGAGATGGTGCCACTGCACTCTAGCCCGGGTGACACAGCAAGACTCCATTTAAAAAAAAAAAAAAGTCACAATTCCAACTTTGTGCTGTATTCCATTGTTAGACTCAGGACCTCAACAGTGGATATTGTAAATGTAGGATGGTAACAACTTTTAATTTCACCTGAATGTGTAGTCAAGAATCACAATCTGAACTTTTGTTGGGCCCTGATACCTCTAAAGGCCCTCCCTACCACCAGAGAGTTTATACCGTACAAGTTAGTGATGTAAATTTCTGTGAGATTGGTACAAGTATGCAAACCAGGACCTTAACTATTGCCCTTAGCTCAATGATAAAAAGCAAAATATCTCCTGTTGGCTGTAACCCAATATAAGTTTGATCATCATACATGTGAACTGTGAACTGAAGCAAGGTATATGTCTTAATCCCATTTACGGGCAAACTTTGGGCAGGAGCATAATATCTACCTAGGTATTGTGCCAAGCAATATGTCCCTATGTCTTCTCTAGGCAGGGTGCATAAAATTGGGTCACATTAACTGGGTTCTGGACCCAGCAATATGACAGCATTCCATATGTGAAAAAAAAAAAGCAGCCATGTTAAGGGAGCCAAATCACATACATAGTGAGTCCAGGATATGTCACAATATCTTGGCTGGCTCCTGCACAGGCAGGAAAGTCTCATCATAAATGTACATGACACAGCAATATGCAGTATGCTACATGCCATAATTTCTCCTTTCTGCAGAACCCAGGAAGAAGAGTAACATCATCTGGATGTTGGGCCCTGCAATAGGTCAAAATTTCTTTGTGTGGGCTTGGTTGCAGAAAAAGAGAAGAGTCACATGTCCTGAGTGCTGGTCTCAACAATGTGTCAAAATCCTCCTATTGTGAAGGCTTGGCAGAAAAAGAGAGTCACAACACTTAGGTCATGGGTTCAGAGATATGTTCAAATGTCCCCAGAAGGCAAAGCTCAGAAACAGGAGGAGAGCCATATCACCTAGATGTTTCCCTAGGAAAGTCATAGTGTAACATGTGGGCAGAAACCAGGCAGGAGAGCCACAGCACTTGAATGCTGGATCCTGAGATATATCACAAGGCTCTCTTAGGACAACACCCAAGCAAAAGAATTACATCACCTTGGTGCAGGTTCTCTGCTTATGCCACAATGCTCCATGTCAGGAGGGCCTAAGGAGGGACTCACTTCATCTAGGTGATAGGCCCAGATATATGTCAAAATGTCCTCTGTGAAGCATAGTCTTGGCAAAGGAGCACCATCGCCTGTGTGCCTAGCCCAGAATTATGTCACTCTCCAAGTTGGCTGGGCCAAAGTAGAAAAGCCACATAACCTAGGTAATAGACCCAGAGGTATATCACAGTACCCTCTTTTGGGCATGGCTCTGGCCAAAGAATACCCTTACCCATGTGCCTGGCCTTGCAATATGTTACTATACTTCCTTTGTGCAGGGTCCATTCTACAGAGGAGAGTTACAGCAACTGTGAGGTGGGCACAGAAATATGTCACAATAATTTTGGTGGGCATTGGGCAGACCAGCATGTAACATCACATAGGTGCTAGATCCAGTGATATGTCACAATCCTAAGAGAAATGCCCAGGCATGAGAGTCACATCACCTGGAGGTTAGCCTACATAAATATCACACTCCCATATATGGACTGAAAACAGTCTGGAGAGTCAAATTACACAGGTGCTTCACAAATATTTATATCACAATCACACTGTCAGAAAATTCTAAATAAGAATACCACACATGTCCTGTTTTCATGCGTGATAGTTGGCTTTATCCATTTGAGATGATGACAGTGCTCACTGTGAGCTGGGTGTGCCCATACAAGATTCACAATTTCACCAGTTATGAACCCTGCTTTGACTCTTTCTGTATAACCCAAATACTTTGTAAAATATGTGTGAATGTTGTAATCTTTTGTGGGCTTTGTATGACAAGGTGACCCAGGACATCATGCATGTCCCTAAACCTAGTGACGAGTCAAAATATCTTTTATTGGCTGAGTCTATATATTACAGCCATGATGATGGCTGTGAGCCATGCCTAGGGATATGTTACAATTTCTTCTGTGTTTATGAAGGAGGCAGAGCAGCCATGTCACCTAAATGCTGGACCAGAAATATTCCAAATATCTCTTTGTAGGCACTGTTCTGTCAAGAATGTCACATAACATCTAAGATAGGTCCAGCTAAGGGGCACAATGTCCATTGTTGGCAGTGTTTAGTCAGGAGAGGTGAGTCATATCACATAAATGATGGGAGCAAAAATATGTTACAATGCCTTCTGTTGACAGAGTCCAGGCAAGAGAGTCATATCATATGGTACCAGTTCTTATAAATGATGAAATTAGCAAAGGAAGCAGGGTACAGGCAGAAAAGGAGAGTCATGTAACCTAGATGATGGGTCCAGAAATATGTTGCATTCCCCCTTGAGGACATTGTTAAGATAGCACAGTCAAATCACCAAAGTTTCTGGCCCAAGTATTTGTCAAAATCTCATTTGTGGTCTATACCTAGACAGACATTAAATTATCCAGGGGCTGAGCATAGGTATATGTCAAAATTTCACTGTGTAAAAGTTTAAAATAAGAGTCACCATCCTGCACGTGTCCTGGCTCCAGGTACATGAGTTGTTATTATGCTTTTATTATGGTCTCAGGTATATGGACACAATATCACCTGTGGCCAGAAAGAAGGCAAGAAAGTCACATCACATATGTGGGTGCAGGTCTAGAGAGATATCACAATCCACCTTGTGGGCAGGACCCTGGCTAAACAGTCACATCACCTAGATGCTGATTTCAGTGTCATATCAAAACTGATTCGGTGGGTAGAATTTTGCAGAAATGAGACACACATCACCTAGGCAATTGTCCTAGATATATGTCAAAATGCACCTTATGTATAGTATCAAGGCTGGAGAGTCACCTCATATTGGTGCTGGTCTCAGCAATATGTCATAATCTCCCTGTGGTCAGGGCCCAGACCAAAGTGAAGAAACATCACCTAGGTGTTGAGCCAAGTGATATGTTATAATGCTTCCTCTTGGCAGAACTCAAAGAGGGGAATCACTTTAACTAGAAGGAGTACCCACTTATATGTCACAATGGCACTGCAAGTGCAGGGCCAAGGCAGTGGAAGGGATTCACATCACTTACATGATGGACCCAGGTGTAAAACATAATTCTCTTTGTACACAGATTTCAGGGAGATAATTCACATCACTTAGGAAATGGCCCCTGTTATATTTAAAAAGTGCCATTTTAGGCAGAGCCAGGGAAGTTGTTACACATTGCTTAGTTGCTTGTTACACATATGGCCCAATTTTATCTATGGTCTGGGCCTAGAAAAGAGGGTCAAATTATCCATGTGCTAAGCAAAGTTACCAGTCCCAATCACACTCTCAGAAAGTTTCAGAAATATCCTACAGAAGTCCTGGTTTCATGTATGTAATTTCACTCTCTATGAGTTGGGTCGAGATAGAACAGTCACAATCTAAAAAATGGGCAAGATCCATGTATATGAGCCCCAATTCCACTTTAAGACTGTTCCAGTAGGGAAGTCACAGCACCACAGTTGTGCTGAATCGTAGTTCAAATGTTTCCAAACCACCTGTGAATCAGATCCATGTATGAGAGTAATTTTCACAGCCTTCAACCCTTTTTTATGTGTTTCATTTAGCACCTCATTTCTAGACTCTCTTCATGTGTGAGAATGATAATTGTATCATCTAGGTGTGCATACAAGAATCACATTCCTACTTGGTTGCTGGTCTCTGTTATGACACTCTTTGTATCATTAAGGCTTCATATGATATATCTGAGTGTTATAATTCTTTTTGAATTTTATACAAGTGAAAAATTTAAGACTTCACCCATGACAGTGAGACTGAATATGATAGTCAGAATATCTCTAGTGGCTAGGTGTAGGTATGAGAGTTATTTTTGCACATGTGTGCTTAACTCAGCTATATGTCACAATTTCCACTGTGAGCAGAAACAAGGGAGGAGAGTCTCATTACTTGGAAGCTGAGCCAGTAATACAGTATAATCTCAGTCATACGTTGGACCTATTCAGAAGAGCCGCATTGCCTGGGTACTGTCTCAAATAGTATATCATCAAGCACACTATATACAGGGTAGAAGAAAAGGGGAGAGTCACTCCATCTAAGTGCTGGGATCTGCAATATGTAATTAGCCCCTCTCTTGGCAGACTCTAGAATATAAAAGAGAGTCATATCATACAGATTTCAAAATGACTGCTATGTTACAATTTCTTGGGTGAGCAGGAAACAGACAGGAGAAGAGAGTCATATTGCGTAGATGTTAAGTCAAACGATATTTTACAATGTCCTGTGGGAGCAGAGCAGAGGCAGGAGAAAAAAAATCATCTACCTTATAGGCCCAGAGATATGTGATAATATCCCTTGTTGGCAGGGCCCAAGCAGAAGGGTCATATTATTAATATTCTATCCCACTGATATGTCACAATGCAGCCATGGGAAGGAATTTAAGCCGAGATGTCTCAACAACTGGGTACTAGCCCTAGTAATACGCCAAATCTCCTTGTATTGGAGGGTGACATATTGTACTGTGAGCTGCATGTGTATATGACCATCACAATCTCACTTGTTTTCCGGCCATGGTATGACAATCCACAATATTTAAAGTCTTTAAACAGCATGCTAGAGAGTTGCAAGCCACTCTGAGGCCTACTTGTTCAAATGGATTCACAATGTTACATATTGCCTTAAACTCAGTTATAAGAGTCAACATCTCTCATGTAGGCTGAATTCAGGAATGAGACTCATTATTATGCCTGTGACCTGGATCCAGAAATGAGTCACCATCCCACCTATAGCCAGATCCACATATGAAGTTCACAATTCCAACTTTGTACTGTATCCACTTGTTAAACTCAGGAACTTAACATTGGGCTTTGGACATGTGTGATGGTGACAATATTTTCTTTCACCTCAATGTGTAATCGAGAATCCCAATCTGGTCTTTTCGCTGGTCGATCTCTTGAAACTCTCCATATCACTCAGGAGTATACACATTATGAGATAGTGTTGTAAATTTCTGTGAGCTTTGTACAATTTTGCTATGCAAGACCTAACCTATTGCCCTAAGCATAACAATGAAAGACAATATATCTTCTATTGGCTGACTCCCAGTACAAGTTTTACCATCATGCTTGTGAACTGAAGTCAGGTATATGTCATAGTCCCATTTGTGGGAAAATCTAGGAAGAAGGGTAATGTCACTTAGGTGCTGTGCCAAGCACTATATCACATTGCCCTCTTCAGGCAGACTATAGGAATTGGAGTCACATTACCTGGGTGCTGAACTCAGTAATTGACACCATCCCACATGTGGAAAAAACCCAGACAACTTATGAGGACCAAAAAACCTACACAATGGGCTCAGAATATGTCAAAATACCTTCTGTGGCTCTGGCACATTCCTGAGAGTAACATTATCAGGGTGGTGGGCCCAGCATGATTCTTTCTATATGCATTAATTTGCACTATATGCAGGACCCAGGCAAAAGAATAACATTATCTGCATGTTGGGCCTTGCAATAGGTGAAAATTTCTGTTTGGGGGTATGGTTTGAAAAAGAAAGGAGTATCAAATAACTCAATAATTCAGCAATAGGTCACAATCCCCTCATTTTAAAGACCAAGTAGAAAAATAGAGTCACTTCACTTAGATCATGGGCTCATAGATACATCCCAGTGTCCCCAGTAGGCAGGGACCATGCAGAAAATGAGAGTAATATAAACTAGGAGCTTCCTTAATTACATGTAACTATCTAACATGTGGACAGAAACCAGGCAGGAGAGCCATATCATCTGGTACAGACTCAAGTAATATGTTACCGTGCCCAATGTAGACCGGTTTATAAGGAAAAAAGATATTTACCAAATGTGGGTGTTGGGCTCAACAATATGCAGTAACTTCCTTTCTTGGAAGATTCCAGGACAAAGAGGACAGTAATGACATCTAGGTTTTGCACTTAGTTGTATGTCAACATTTCATCAGTGGACAGCACCAAGCAGGAGAGGAGAGTCTAATTACCCTGATGCTATATTTATTGATATGTCACAGTGTACCCTGTGGACAGGGCACTGGCAGGAGAGCCATATCACCTAGCCTATAGACCCAGAGATATGGGAAAATATCACCTGTTGGCAGGGCCCAGGGAGAAGAGTCATTATCATGATTCTGACCCAGTGATATTTAACAATGCCCTTATGAAAAGGAATTTATACCAAAAAGTCTCAACACCAGCAAACTAGGCAAAGACATATGACATAATATTTTCATCTTTAAGGTTGACACCAGTAAGTGTTAAATAGTTGTGTATATGACAGTCACAATCCCACGTTTACTGACCATTGCGTGACACTCTCTACAACATCCGAGTACTTTATACAACATGTGTAAGAGTTGTAAAGCTCCGTGAAGTGTATGCACTGATGTGGAGTCACGATCTTACATATTTCCCTAAACCCAGGTATTACAATTAACATCTCTCCTATAGGCTGGCTTCAGGGATGAGACCATTATTATTCCTGCTAGCTGGGTCAAGAAATGAGTCACCTACCCACCTGTGGGCCAGAATCACTTACAAAATTCACAATTTCAAGTTGGTGTTGTATTCACTTGATAGACTCAGGACTTCAACAATAGGCTTTGTAAATGTAGGATGGTAACAACTTTTACTTTGACCTGAGTGTGTAGTCAACAGCCACAACTATAACTTTTGCTGGGCTCTGTTATGAAACTTTCTGTAACACTCAAGAAGTTTTCATGATATGAGTTAGTGTTGTAAACTTCTGTGAACTTTGTATCAAAATGCAATGAATAACCTTACCTATTGACCTAAACCAAGCAGTGAGAAGAAAAATATCTCCTATTGTATGAATTTTAAAATAGGGTTGATCATTATGCCTTTGAAATGAATCACAGTATATGTTCTAATCCCATTTATGCACAAAAAAAATCTAGGCAGAATTTTTACATCACTTAGGTGCTTTACTAAGCAATATGTCACACTTTTAAGCAGCAACTAGGAGACAGGATCACATTAACTAAAGGCTGGAGCCAGCAATATGATACAACCACAGATGGAAGAAACCCAGCAAAGTTATGAGAGCCAAAACACTTACAAAATGAACCAAAGTAAAGTCAAAGTATTTTCTGTGGCTCTGTCACAAGCAGAAGAGTCACATTATTAGGTTGCTGGGATAAGCAATATGCCACAATTTCCAATTTGTGCACAACCTAGGGAGAAAAGTAACATGTCACAATCTTCCAATTCGAAAAGCCCAGACAGAAGAGAAGAGTCACATCACAAACGTCTTTGACTCAGAGATATGGCCCAATGTCACCAGTAGACAAGGCTCTGGAAGGAAAAGAGAGTCATATCACAAATGTACTTCTTTAAGTATATGTCACAATTTCATATGTTTGCAGAAACCAGGTTGAAGAGCCATATCACCTAGTCCTGGGTCCTGAAATATTCACATGACCCCTCTTTACAAAAAGGATCCAGGCAAGAGAGTTACATCACCCAGGTGCAGGTTTCACTCTTATGTCACCATGCTCCATGTGGGCAGGGCCAAATCATAACTCACATCACCTAGGTGATAGACCCAGAGATATGTCACAAAGCCTTGCTTAAAGCATGACCCTAGCATAAGAGAACCATCACTTTTGTGCCTGACCTAGCATTATTTCACTATTCAAGTGGGCAGGTCCCAAACAGAAGAGCCATATCACGTATGAGATAGGCCCTGTGATATGTAAAAATCCTCTCTTTTGGGCATGGAACTGGCAAAAGAGTATCATCATCATTGTGCCTGACCTAAGAACATGTGACTATCCTGCTTTTACTTCAGGGCTTATTCCAGGGAGGAGAGTTGAAATTTCTAACTAGTGGAAAAACTGATATGTCGCAATGATGTCTGTGATCAGGTTTCAGGCAAGAATGTGTTTTCACATGGGTGCTAGATCCAGTGATGTCACAATACTTACTGAGAGCAGGGCCCAGGCAGAAGTGTCACATCACTCCAAGTTTGGTCCAAGTAGATATCAAAGTCTCATATACAGCAGCATCCAGTCTGAAGAGTGAAATCACACAGGTGCTTGGCAAAGGCAAAATTTCTATTGGCTTGATCCACATATGACAGTCATTATCATGCCTGTTAGCTGTGCATAGGTATATGTCAACTTCACCTCTGTGGTTCTTAAACAAGCAGGACAAACACATCACATAAATTCTAAGCCAGAAATATTCCAATATTTTCTTTACAGACGTGTAATAGAAAAGTCACAAAACTTGGGCACTGGGCCCAGCTGTATGACATAATGCTTCTTGTGGAGACTGTCCAGGCAGGAGAAGAGAGTCATATCACCTAAATGATGGTGCCAGACGTATGTCACATTGCCTCCTGTTGAAAGGCCTAGACAATAAAATCAGGCCATTTGGATTCAGTGCTTACAAACTCTACACTCTTCATTGGAAGCAGTGTTCATGCAGGAGAGGAGAGTCACATAACCTAGATGATGGGTCCAAAGATATGTTAGAATCCTATTTGAGGACACTGTTAAGACACAAGAGTAAAATAAGTGAGGTTTTTGACCCAGGTATAATTTAAAATGTCATCTGTGGGCTATTACTAGGAAAAATTATCAAATCACTCAACAGGTGGGCAAAGGTAAATGTCACAATAACACCCATGGAAATAATCAGGGATGAGAGTCACCAGCCTGCTCCTCCTGGCTCCAGGTACAAGAGTCATCATAAGGCCTTTGATTTGGTCTCAGGTATTTGGCACCACATCACCTGTTGTCAAGGAGAAGAAAGCAAAGTCACTTCACCTGAGTGGGTTCAGGACCAGTGAAATGTCACAATCTTCCTTGTGGGAAGGACTCTAGAAGAGTCGTCACATCAACTGGATGTTGGTTTCTGTGATATATCCAAATCCTCCCTGTGGGGAGGGTTTAGGCAAGAGACAAGATAAACTTCACCTCTTCATTTGTCCTGAATATATGTCACAATGACCCCTGTGTGAAGGATCAAAGCAGGAGAGTAACCTCACCTTGATGCTGAGTTTAGCAATATGTCACAATCTGTGTGCTGGACAGGTCTCAGGCAAGAGAAAAGAAAGATTACATAGTTGCTGAACCAAGTGGTAAGTTACAAAGCTTTTCATTGGGAGAACCCCCCTCAAAAAACCACCAAACAACTTGGGTGCAATAACCAGTTATGTGTCACAATGCACCAGAACTACAGGGCCAAGGCAGTATAAGTAAGTCACAGCACTTACATGATTGACCTAGATAAAAGCCAAAATGCTAGCTGTAGGCAGTGTTCAGGCTAAGATTTCACATCAGCTGGGTGCTTGTCCAAGTGACTTGTAAATGTGTCTTTTGGCACATGGCCATAGAAGGTGTTATACATTGCTTAGATACTTGATGTTCATGTGTCACAATTTCAACTGTGCTCTGGGCCTTGGTAGGAGACTGAAAACACTCAGATGGTAGGCAAGTCATAATTGTCAATCACAAACTCAAAAATATTCAGAAATAAGTTTCACAGTACCACAAAAGTCCTGGCTTTGTGTTTGAGAGCGAACACCTTCTATGAGTTGGATTGAAGTTCAGGAGTCACAATCTCAACAATAGCCAAGATTCAGTCAGAAGATCCCCAGTCCCACTTGAAGATTGTATTCCAGTAGGAGAATCAAAGCACTACAGGACTTGTGAATCATGGTTCAAATATCACCAAACCACCTGTGGGTCAGATTCATATATGAGAACAATTTCAATCTTCGACTGCTTATGTGTGAGAGATTTAGTACCTCATTTGTAGGCTCTGTTTATGTGTGAGAATGACAATGGTGTCTGCTGGGGCAGCATCCAAGAGTCACAATATCACCTGGTTGTTGGTGTCTATTATGACACAGTTTGTACCACTCAGGCTTGGTATAATATGCCTGAGCAGCATACTTTTCTGTGAATTCTTACTGGTGAGGGATCTAGGATTTTTTCCATGGCCGTAAGACTGGCTATGAGAGTCAAAATATCACCCCTGGCTGGGTCTAGGTATGAGAGTTATTACTATGCATATGAGCTGAATCCAGTTATATATCACAATCTCACCTTTGGACAAAGACAAGACAGAAGAGTCACATCATCTGCATGCTTAGTGAGGGGTACATTATAATCTCCTCTGTAGTCAGGACCCAGTCAGATAGTCTTTTCATCTGTGTACAATCTCAAATAATATGTCATCATGCCCACTGTATACAGCATTGAAAAAAATGTTGGGTAGTCACACTTACTAGGTGCTGTGCTCAGCAATATGTTATTATTCCCTCTTTTTGTAGAGTCCAGGACAAAGGGGAGAGTCAATTCACCTAGGTTTTGCACACAATTGTATCTCACAATGTCTTCAGTGGTGAGGATCCAGGCAAGAGCAAAGAGTCACATTACCTAGTTGCTACATATAGTGATATATCACAGTGTAACCTGTGGGCAGGGCACTGGGAGGAGAGATACATCATCCAGCTGATAGGCCCAGAAATATATGATAATATCCCCTGTTGCCTGAGTCCAAACAGAAGAGTCACAGTATTATGAATCCAACCTAACAATAATTTAAATTGCACCCATGGAAAAGAATTTAAGCTAAAAATTCTCAACTCCTAGGGATATTGGCCTTGTGAAATAAAATAATTTTATCATCTTTCAAGTGACACCTTTAACTGTTAGCTTGGTGTGTATATAAAAGTCACAATCTCATGTGTGTTCTGAGTCATTGTATGACACACTACAACATCCGAAGGCTTTATGCAACATGCAGGAGAGTTGCAAACCACTCTGAGGCCTACATGCTTATATTGACTCACAATCTTAAATATTTATTTAAAGCCAGATAGGACGGTCAACATGTCTCTTATAGGCTAAGTTCAGATATGAGACCCACTATTACACCTGTGATTTGGGTCCAGAAATGAGTTACCATCTCACCTATAGCAAGATCCACATATGAAAGTCACAATTCCATCTGTGTTCTTTATTTACATGTTAGACTCAGGACTTCAACACTGGGTTTGCTAAATGTGGGAGGGTGACACATTTTGCTATCACCTGGCTAGGTAATCAAGGTCAGAATCCTCACCTTTTCCTGGGCCCTGTTATCAAACTGTGTACCACCCAAGGAGTTTTTAGAATATGAGTTAATGTTGTAACTTTCTGTGAGCTTTATTCCAATATGCAACTCATAACAGTACCTATTGCCCTAAGTGTAGCGATGAGAGGCAAAATATCTACTATATGTGGCATACCAATTTAAGTTTGATCAGCATGCTTCTGAATTCAAACAATGTAAATTTCACAATCGCATTTGTAAGAAAAAAGCTTGTCAGGAGGGCAGGACAACTTTGTTGTTCTGCCAAGCAATATGTCACAATGCCATTTTTTTTTGTTTCTCTGGCACAGTCCAGAGAGTTATATCATCAGGGTTGGGGTCCCAGCAACATGCCATAAAAGTATATCACAATGGCCACTATGTGCAAAACAAAAGTATGAAAGTGACATCACCTTACCAATGGTTTAACAATATGCCACAATCTTCTCTGTGATCAGGGTGAGGCAACAGTGGAGAAACATCACCTAGGTTCTGAGCCAAGTGATATGTTAACAAAGCTTTCTGTTGGCAGGACCCAAAACAGAGTCACATTACCTGGGTACAGTACCCAGTTATGTGTCACAATGAACTATAAGTGCAGTCTCAAGGCAGTAAAATGGAGTCATGTCACTACAAAATGAACCTAAATATAAGCCAGAATGCTTTTTATATGCAGGGGTAAGGCAAATAATTCACATCACCTGGGTGCTGGTCACAGTGATATGTAAAAGTGCTCTTTTTAGGCAGTCTCAGACAACTTTGCTTATGTGCATGGCCCACGTATGTCACAATTGCATCTGTCATCATGGCCTAAAATGGAAAGCCAAATTATTCAGAAGCTGGAATAACTTTTATATTCTAATCAAACCAAATTGAATATTTAGAAATGTGCTTCCAGTTCCACAAATGTCCTGGCTTTTTGTACGTGAGTTGACACCTCCTGTGAGTTGGGTTGAAGCAGAGGAGTCACAATCTCAACAGTCAGCCAAGAGATTAAAGCCAAAACACCTACAGAATGAGCCAAAGATATGTCAAAAATACTCTCTGTTCCTCTGGCACAGACAGGACAGTATCATCATCAGGGTGATATGCCTCCCAGTATGCAATAATTCTCACTTTATTGAGGTCTCTGGCAGAAGAGTAACATCATCTGTGTGCAATAGGTCAAAATTTCCCTTTCTGGGCATGGTTCATAGAAAAGAGTAGAGTCAAAAGACCAAAATGCTGAGCTCACCAATATGCCACTATCCCACCATATTAAAGGCCCAGGCAGCATAAAAGAGTCATATCACTTAGGTCATGGCTCAGAGACATGTACCAATATCCCCAGTAGGCAGGACTCAGGCAGAAAATAAGAGTCGTATCACCTAGGTGCTTCTTTAATTATATGTCACAATATAACACATAGGCAGAAATCAGGCAGAGGAGCCAGAGCACCTGGGTGCTGGGTCCCGATATATGTTGCAAGTTCCCTTAGGATGAACCAAGTTGAAAGAGTTCATTGCCTTGATGCAAGTATAACATTCGTTTCACAATGTCCTATGTGGAAGAGGCCAAAGCATTGAGCTACATCACTTACTTGATAGGACCAGAAATATGTCACAATCTCCTCCCTGAAATATAACCCTGGCAAAAGAGTGCTACAATCTTAGTGCCAGCCTAGCAATATGTCATTACCACCCGCTGTTTTCAGGACCCATTCCAGAGATGTCATAATTATTTCTGTGGGTGTGGCCCAGGCAAGAATGTATCATCACTTGGGTTTTAGATGCAGGGATATGTCACAATCCTTACTGAGAGAACAGCCAAGACAGGAGTATCACATATGTTCAATGGGAAAATCCTCATAGAATACTCCTCAGTATGATTGAAAGAATGTTGTTCAATCAATCATTGATAGGTGCACAGTGAAGTAACTTCTGGTTTTAATTGGGTGCTCTCAAAGCTAGGATTGAAAACTCTTGGTTCTAAACTCACATGATGAGGAGTTATATTATGCTATCCTTTTCTGCACATTTGTTTATAGTCAGAGTTGTTTCAACTTGCCAATGAATAGAGTAGAAAATTGTTTCCCTGAGACCTACGCATCTCCCATTCATAGGTTTTTAGGTTGTGCATTTTTCATATTTCTTATAAGATCATGATCACAGAGATCATATTTGTCAAGATAAAGCTCTGTTGCACAAGGATTATGTGAAGGCGTTTACTACCCATGGCTCAGGGTTCCTTTAGAAGCAGGATGAAGCTCAAAAACTATTACTGAAGCCAGAAAATGAAGAGAGAAGTTAAGGGCTACCCACAGGAAAAAGCAAAGTGCTTCCTTTCACTTTACAAGTGGTCACTGCTTATCCTGACATTAAACTTGCATCTGATCATGATGTGTTTCTTGTTCATCTCTCTTGGTATTCCACTAAATCTGCGTCCAATGAAAAGAGACCTGGATGAGAGTAGTAAAGACAGTAACAGCATTTTTCTATATATTATGCCTTAGTGAGCTTTGAAGCACATTGAGCAGAGCCTGAATTCTTCCTCACTTTTGGATAAGTTGTGTCAAATTTGACACTGATGTAAATGGTACCAGGTTTAATATGTCAAAAGAAGAAACTCAGAACCAGTGAATGAGACAGAGTTTCATTCTTGTTGCCCAGGCTGGAGTTCAATGGCCCAATCTCAACTCACCACAAACCCTGCCCACCATGTTCAATTGATTCTCTTGCCTCAGCCTTCCAAGTAGCTGGAATTAAAAGCATGTGCCACCACACCCGGCTAATTTTGTATTATTAAGAGAGGCAGCATTACCATGTTGGTCAGGCTGGTGAAACCCCAGCCTCAGGTGATCCACCCACCCTGGCCTCCCAAAGTTCTGGGATTACAGGCATGAGCCACTGCACATGGCCAGGCCACTGCCAGATTTTTTAGGTTGGAACTTGAACACTAAGATGAATTTTTTATATAGTATCAGTCTTCAGCTATGCTAAAGTCAAGTTAACACTGTCAGTTGCATCCACCACACAGGCCGGTTCAGGCAATGGAGATTCTTCTTTCTGAGACTCTAGATTCAAAAAAGTTTTTGCTGTTTCTTGAATAGTTGGTTTGACAGGAGTTTATCTAAAAGGTCTTATGTGTGTGCACATTGCTGTATGGTTGTCTAAGTTAATGAGATGGCTTCTTAGTTGGCAGCGTCTCTTTCAGCTGCAAGTGTATACAGGCTGCTGAGGTGCCCCTTTACCAGATTTTTACTGGGGCATGACATTCTGGGGCCCCAGTTCAACTATTTTCCATGGTGGGACATGCTCAACGAGACCCTTAAATTGTGGTTCAGGTGAACCGGCTGATGTTGCCCTTTAAAAAACAGAACTGCTTGGTTTATTTCTTATTTTACTTGTCATTCTAACATATCTTTTGGTATGGAGAACAGAAAAGAATGTGAATATGTGACAGAATTCTTCCTAGAGTTGGGGCTATTTATACATGATACTTAAGTGTCAAGGTAGGTTGACAGATCTATCTTCCTGGTGCAGCCTGTGTAGGATAGAGCACTGTGACCCCTATAGCTCAGCTCCTGCAACACTTCAGAGGAATTTCAAAAACCATAGGATGTGGGGGTTAGAGAAAGAGCTGGTATAAATGGCAAGTTGCAAGTGAAATAATTGGAGGCAGGAAGATAACAGAACCTGTTTGGAACAGTATACATACTATTTGCATGCAGCTGAACAGCCAAGCCAGTTCTCTGATTTGGGCTGTGTACCAAGGAATTAACAGGCCCACTTCTGCTCTGGCCACGGTGCTGAACTCTTTGGTTCTAGAACCAAATGTAAGTTCTGGCCTGTTCGGTTTCACAGGCCAATAGAGTGAGGAGGCCCAGGTAGGCCAACAAATGTGGCTGTGGGTGGGCTTACCACACGTGACTGGTTGTGTCTGTGCCTACACTCACAAGGAAGAGGGATCTTCTTCCTCAAGGCAATCCTAGGGAATTTTAATACAAGCCCAGGCAGGTGTCAGGCTTATGGGAGCCAGTGAAGAAAATAGTTCATGCCTCAGCCCAGTGCTTTTGCCTATCCTGGCTTGTGGCTTTGGGGGCTCAATATAATCATCAGAAAAATGAACAATGAAAGCCCCTCAGTGACTGGCTGTTCACCCCACTTTTACCAGGCCACCACACAGTACCCACCCTACAGCTCCAGGTATAGCCTGTGCTTCAAAATGCTGGGGGATTTCTGGGATGAGTTCAGGGCCCTGAGAGGGTTCTCCCCCACAGGGATCACTCATGCCAACACCTCTGTGTGCACTGGATAGCTCAGCATGTCTGCTATATGCCACCCTTATTACCTGCTCTTGTCAAGCCCATGTCTTCCTGGGTTGGCAAGGGGCACATGCTCACTGAAGTCCATGTGGCCTGTCCATCTTTCCTCCCATGCACAGCCTCAGGGAGCTGTCATCCAGATTTCCTCCTAGATTATGATCTCAGGGGGTAACAACAGCACATTCTTCTCCAACTTATTGACTAGTAAATCTATAGTTCACTTAATGTGCCAAGGTGGGTGTGGGCCTTGATACTCTTGATCTCTTTCCTCTAGTGGGACTTTATTGGGGGTTGCCATCCTGATTTCTTTGTGGAAATAGCCAGCAGGTGAGGCAGAACACAAGGGCCTGGGGCAGACAGGACAGAGCACCTAGGTAGGAGGTCTCAGTGTATTTCCAGGCCCGTTTTCTAAGTCAGTGCCCATATCCCTTTTCTGGGCCTCTAAGAATGGTTTACTCTATCTGCAACCTGCACCCACTGCTCTGTAGGTGGTGAGCATCCATTTATCTTTTTGGATTTGATCTTGTCCTTCATTTCCATTGGATGTTCTCCTGGAAGAAATGCACAGGGAATCCTGAGCCTGTGCTGAAGGTTACCTAACAGCCAAAGTCAGTAAGAAGTTTTCAAAAATATAATTACTAGCATTTTCTGCACATTGTTATCTCATAGTTGATTTTGCCACAGAATGTGAAAAAGGAAATATTACAACTTTTATCCTTTCCCTTATTTTAATTAGATCATCATACAAAACTTTTATTTTTCTGAAATTTATTTTTTATGCCAATCATTGAATTTTTGTTTCCTCCTTTGTTCAAATTGTTACCTGTTTTAGAGGCAAAATCTTAAAAATATATGCTACAAAAATACTAACAGGTGATAGCAATTTATTTAGAATGTAATTAAGTTTCTTAAATAAGTAAATAATTTCAGTGAACTTAGTTTGCAGTATTTGTATAAATTATTTTCTATCTTATCCTCAATCTTAAAAAAAAGTTATCTTGGTAAGCAAATCAAAATTAACAGATTTTGTAAACAGACAACTTAAAAACATTTTTTGGACATGTTGGGTAATGTAATTCTCAAATATTTTATCTTAGAAATCAACACACTTGACAATTGATATTCTTAGTGTCTATAAAAGTGACATTATGAATATGCTTTTATACTTGACAAAAATTAAAAAAAGTATTCTAGTCTTCCTCAGTAAAACTTAAAGATTATACAAATAAGATTAAATATACCAGAAAAACTGAATTAACCAGAAAAACTGAAACACATTCATTCACTTTATCTTTCAGTATCTGATAATTAGCTGATGTTATGACATTAAGAATCTGCTTGAGTAAAGAAATAAGGCCAACCAGCTCTTGTGAAAGAATCATTAAAAATATACGGAACAAACATATCATGTATATTGTTTTTAAATATCACAAAATTTGCATAGAGGTGTTTATAGTATTCTCTGATGGTAGTTTAATTAACCAGAAAAGCTGAAACAGATTCATTCACTTTATCTTTCAGTATCTGATAATGAGCAGATTTTTTGATATTAATGAAATGCCTAACCTTGTTTTTACTCTAACTCATTACTTTGAATTTTGTCCTGCTTGTCTCTTTAATCACCTATCCTTGCTTCTCATGTAAATAAGACTCTCTGTAGCTGGGAAGGCCAGACAAACTCCAACTGACCCCTTAATTTACAAGACACTAAGGGCTCCTTTCCCAACCCCCTTTTGTAAGGAGTTGGCCTGGGTAAACAGATCCTCAGCATTTCAAAGGAGTCCAATTAACTGATAAGGTACTAACACCAACAATGTATGAAGTTCCCAGGATTTTTCTCAAAGAGATAACAACATAAAACCTTGAGTTCATGTCTTCTATAGACTCTATATCTAATTATAATGAAAGATTTAGAACCTTGCACCTGGTACCTTTGCTCTTCTTGTAACCATTTGTCTTTTAAGTGGTTTATCTCTCTGTAACCATTTTGCTTCTTTTGATTCTTGCATGTTTTTACTTCTGTAGAATTATTGCATTTGAGTCCCCCTCCCCTTCCTAAACCTAGGTATAAAAGTTAATCAAGCCCCTTCCTCGGGGCCGAGAGAATTTTCAGCATTAGCCATCTCTTTGGCCGCCAGCTTAATAAAGGACTCTTAATTCGTCTCAAAGTGTGGCATATTTTTTAACTCGCTTGGATACAACATAATGGAGGTCCCAGTGAGAAATTAACTCCACTGGGTGAGAGCCGGTCTCACTCTGGGCTCCCCCGGAAGGACGGCTGGCTTGGATGGGGGGCGCCACCTGAGGAAATAATTTTTAAGGTCCCAGAAGAGTAACTGCCTTCCGGAGGAGAGCGGATCGACCACCGTGTCATTGCCCTAAAATTCAACATCTGAGTCCTCAGCTTCTGACCCCGGGGTCAGGTAAGTCAGATTTGACTTCGTTTCTGGTAAGAGGGGAGTGGCCCTGATGAGGGCGTCCCTCTTTTGACTCAGCCTGTTACTCTAGGACACTAGTGGGTTGAGCCTTGGTTTTCTGGTAGGTGCTTTTGTATCTTGGTTTGGGTAGGAAGTGGTCCTGACAAGGACCCTCCACTGACTTAGCTCAGGGCCCAGGAGGCGGGAGCTAAGCCTTGGTTTCCGGAAGACCGGACTCTCGATCTCTCTCTCTCTTTCTCTCTTGTCTATCTTACATCCTTCTGTTGTTCAGGTTTCTTGGACAATCTCTGGGAAAGAAAAGGAAGAAAAAAAGAGAAAAAAATTGTTATAAACTCTGTGTAAATGGTGTGTGACTGTGGGAGGACAAGGGGTTGCATTTGTCTTCCAGTTTGTAGCTCTATGGTGAAAGCTACAGAGTTCAAGTGGGCCCTCACCTGCGGTTCCGTGGCGACCTCCTAAGGCTTAAGGCAGCACCGGGCATAGCTCGATCTGAGCCAGGGGTTTATACCAGCCTGTCGATGCTAAGAGGAGCCCAAGTCCCCTCTGGGGGATCAGCCAGGCGGGCATCTGAATGACAGCATCACGGGAACTCCTTCCCTTGTCTGTCTAATAAAGAAGGTAAAAAAGGGAAAACTGTCATAATTGTTTACATGCCCTAGGGTCAATTGTTTGTTTTATGTTTATTGTTTTTTTCAGTGTCTATTGTCTTGTTTAATAGTTGTCAAGGTGTTATATGTCAGGACATCGATATTGTCCATGAGGTCTGGGTAAAAATTTCTTCAAGGACCTTAGTGCTGCTTTTTTGTCACAAGAGGTTAAATTTCTCATCAATCATTTAGGCTGGCCACCACAGTCTTGTCTTTTCTGTCATAAACAAGTAAGGTGTTGTTATGGAAAAGAGTGTGGAGAACATTCACCTGATCGGAATTTCTGGCACCATTAAGGTTGCAGGTATTTAGATTGTCATACCCCACGTCCTAGTGATTGGTCCTCTTGTAAACTGAACTGGTGGTGGATTCAAAACAGCCACCTTGCAGACCTTCTTGCTGATCTCTTTTGTTATTTTGTAACTTTTCCTGTGCCCTTGAATAAGACCTTGTGTAGGGAAACCTACGACCGTCATGCTTTACTTCGTTTAGACTCCTATTCTGTTCCCCTGTGGCTACGCTCTCACCTTAAGGATGATCTGAGTGGTCCTTTTCCCCCTCATCCTTGCCCCCTACCCCATGCATCTTGTTTTCCAGTGTGACAGCAAGTTCAGCATCTCCAAGACTTGGCTCTGCTCTCACTCCTTGAACCCTTAAGGGAAAAAGCTGAATTTGAACTGTTTGCTTTTGAATCGTGGAGACATCAAAAATATCTAGGATATAGGTCTAGAGGAAGAGGAAGAGGGAGAATGCCTAGCTCGAACCGTCCCAGGAGACCTTGGGTTGACCCCTAATCCCCCTCCCTCAATCTAAAAGCTACAGAAATTTGGCAAGTAGTATTAGTTTTTGTGGTTTTTCTGTTGTTCTTCCTGGTCATGTTAATTCTGTTTTTCCGACACTCCAGCCCCCCAGGGAAAGAATTTCTCTGCCCGTGTTGGATCTGATATCCCTGCTTGAGACTTTGCTAAATTGCCTTTAAATAATAAAAATAATAATAAAATGGGAAACACTTCCTCCCAGCCCTATAAAGTTTGGAGCCCTCTCCAGGGTATGCTGAAAAAATTTTCTCTTGGTTTCTCAGAGGACTATGGAGTCCGCCTTAGAAAAGGCAAGCTCCAGACACTCTGTGAACTAGAATGGCCAAAGTTTGGATTTGGATGGCCCTCTGAAGGGTCATTAAATCCTATCATTGTTCAAGGCATGTGGCGAGTTGTTACCAGAACTCCCAGCCACCCTGATCAGTTTCCATATATAGATCAATGGTTAAGTTTGGTTAAAAATCCTCCTCCATGGCTCTGTTCATGTGCCTTTCACAACTCCACCTCCAAAATCCTCCTGAGCCAGGACGCATTTTTGCCTCGACCCTCAGCTGATTCAGCTCCCCCTGTTTTGCCTCCCTATGAAGAAGAGGAGAGTCTCCCTCACCCAGTTCCACCACCTTACAACCAACCTGCCCCTCTAGCATCTTCCCATGTCTCTTCCACGACATCCCCTGTGGGCTCACCACCCTTTGCCTCTCAGCTGTGACTGCAGCAGGAGGAAGCAGCCCCTCTACTGCCACTGAGAGAGGCACAAGTCCCTCCAGGGGATGAACACTCAGCCCCCTCCCTGGTTTATGCCCCTTTTCCTACTTCTGACTTGTATAATTAGAAAAATCATAATCCTCCCTTCTCCGAAAAGCCTCAGGCTTTGACCTCACTGAAGGAGTCCATACTGCAGACCCATTGACCCACCTAGGTTGACTGCCAACAGCTCCTTTTAACTCTCTTTATCTCTGAGGAGAGGGAGCATATCCAAAGAAAGACCAGAAAGCACTTCCTTGCATCAGCCGGCAGGCCTGAGGAGGAAGCTAGAGACCTCCTGGAGGAGGTCTTTCCCTCCACCCAGCCTAATTGGGACACACATTCCTCAGGTGGAAGGAGAGCTTTGGACGATTTTCACTGGTATCTCCTTGCAGGTATTAAAAGAGCCACTTGGAAGCCCATAAACTTGTCTAAGACAACTGAAGCTGTCCAGGGGCCTGATGAGTCACCAGGAGTGTTTTTAGAATGTCTCCAGGAGGCTTATTGAATTTATACCCCTTTTGACCCCATGGCTCCCGAGAATAGCTGTGCTCTTAATTTGGCATTTGTGGCTCAGGCAGCCCCAGATATTAGGAGAAAACTCCAAAAACTGGAAGGATTTGCTAGGATGAACATCAGTCAGCTTTTAGAAATAGCCCAGAAAGTTATTGAAAACCGAGAATTTGAAAAACAAAAACAAGCAACACAGGCAACTGAAAAAGCCGCTGATAAGCCATGTAAAAGACAAGCAAAAATCTTGGAAACCGCTATCCAAGAGGGCAAAAAGGAAAGGCTCCTATTCCAGAAGATTGACCAAGGACCCTCGGGTTCCCACCAGAAAAATAAAAGAGGTGAACAGGCCCCTCTAGGAAAAGACCAATATGCCTATTGCAAGCAGACTGGGCATTGGAAAAAGGAGATCCCCCTGCTGCCAAAAGAAAAGTCAGAAAACAAAAAGATTCTCACCCTGCCTGCAACAGAGGAGCCTGATAATTGATGGGGCCAGGGCTCCCTCACTCTTGGCCCCCAGGATCCCATAGTAACTGCTACAGTGGAGGACCAGCCTGTACGTTTCCTAGTAGACACTGAGGCAGAACACTCAGTACTGCAGACTCCCTTGGGCAGTGTCTCAAATAAAAAAAATAACTGTACAAAGGCAACTGGAGCTATTCAAGAGTACCCTGTCACACGCTCCCGAGAAGTAAACTTGGGACAGAAAAGAGTGACACACTCTTTTCTGGTGGTTCCAGAGTGTCCTTTTCCTTTATCCTTGGACGAGACCTGCTCCATAAGTTACAGGCCTCAATCTCCTTTTCAGCTCAGCATGCTCATCTCACACTAGGAAATGAAACTTCCCCAACTGCCCAACTCTTGCTAACTACCTATCTGTCAGAAGAATACCTTCTGGTTTTACCATCACAATCACCGGAGGAAAATACTAATACTCTTTTGTTGGACATACAGACATTTTTTCCCCAAGTTTGGGCCGAGTCAAACCCTCCCAGACTGGCTAAACACCATCTGCCAGAGGTTGTAGAATTCTTGGCTACTGCCATACTGGTCCAGGTAAAGCAATACCCCATGAGTCAGCAGGCTAGAGAGGTGATTAATCCCCACATTCAATGACTGTTACAAGCTGGCATACTTACACCATGTCAGTCGGCCTGTAACACACCATTTTTGCCGGTCCAGAAACCTGGGACAAATGATTACCAGCCAGTACAATACGTGAGGGAAGTTAATAAATGGACTGTTATTGTCCATCCAACCATCCCTAATCCTTATACTCTACTCAGCCTGCTCCCACCAGAACATACAGTATGTACTGTTCTTGACCTGAAAGATGCTTTCTTTGCTTTTCCTCTGGCCCCCAAAAGCCAGCCTATTTTTGCAATTGAATGGACAGATCCAAGATCAGGAGACACTACCCAGCTGACTTGGACTGAGTTACCTCACCCTTTTTGGGGAGGCTCTTCGGCAAGATCTTATACCCTTCCGAGCTAGTCACCCTAACTGTACTCTTCTTCAGTATGTAGATGATATTTTAATAGCTACTGAAACTATGGACAGTTGTCTACAACACACAAGGGACCTGCTCTACCTCCTTCAGGAGCTCAGGTATGGAGTCTCAGCCAAAAAGGCCCAACTTTGTCTTGCCAGAGTGTCCTACCTGGGGTACGAGATAAACCAAGGAAACAGGGCACTCACCAGTGCCCGGAAAGAAGCCATCCTGCGAATCCCCACTCCCACCACCAAGAGAAGGGTACGCGAATTACTGGGAGCCATGGGATACTGTCATCTCTGGATATTGAGGTTTGCAGAGTTTGCAAAGCCTTTGTATACTGCTACAAGAGGTAATGGCCCACTGATTTGGACAGACACTGAGGAACAGGGTTTTCAAAATCTGAAAAAGGCTTTAACTGCAGCCCCTGCTTTAGCCCTCCCAAATATCTCAAAGCCTTTTCATCTGTTTGTCCATGAGAGCCAGGGAGTTGCTAAGGGGTTGCTTACTCAGACTTTAGGACCTTGGAGACGCCCAGTGGCTTATTTATCTAAGAAGCTGGATCCTGTGGCCTCAGGATGGCCAAGTTGCTTGCAAGACATAGTGGCTACAGCAAGCCTAGTCCAAGAAACTGATAAGTTAACTCTAGGCCAGAATTTAACCCTTATGGCTCCTCATGCTGTAGAGATTTTACTACAAAGTGCTTCAGGTAAATGTATGTCAAATACTCGCATTTTACAATATCAGAGTTTACTGTTGGATCAGCCTCACTTGACTTTCTCTCCCACAAGGTGTTTAAATCCTGCTACACTACTCTCAGATCCAGATTCTAATATTCCTGTCCATGACTGTCAGGAGCTGTTAGAAACTATCAAAACTGGCAGGCCAGATCTTCAAGATGTGCCCCTGAAAAAGGCGGACGCCACCGTGTTCATGGACAGCAGAAGTTCCCTCGAGCAGGGGATACAAAAAGCCAGTGCAGCTGTTACCACAGCGAACACCTCAGCGCAGAAAGCTGAATTAATCACCCTTACTCAGGCTCTCCGATGGGGTAAGAATAAACGTATTAACATTTACACTGACAGCAGGCATGCTGTTGCTACTGTGCATGTACCTGGAGCCATCTACCAAGAACGGGGGTTACTCACTTCAGCCGGAAAAATTATCAAGAACAAAGAGGAAATTCTAGCCCTGCTTGAAGCCATGTGGTTCCCTCAGCAGGTGGCTGTAATCCATTGTAAAGGACATCACAAAGAAAACACGGCCATTGCCTGCGGTAACCAAAAAGCTGATTCAGCACCTCAGGAAGTGGCACGGTCTTCAGTTTGGCCCATAAACCTGCTGCCAGCAGTTTCTTTTCCACAGCCAGATCTGCCTGACAACCCTGCATACTCAGCAGAAGAAGAAAAATTGGCTTCACATCTTAGAGCAAATAAAAATCAGAAAGGTTGGTGGATTCTTCCTGACTCTAGAATCTTCATACCCCAAGCTCTTGGAGAAACTTTAGTCAGTCATCTACATTATACCACCCATTTAGGTGGGACAAAATTAGCCCACCTCCTCCAGAGCTGTTTTAAGATCCCTCATCTACAAAGCCTAACAAATCAACCAGTTCTCTGGTGCACAGCCTGTGCCCAGGTAAATGCCAAGCAAGGTCCTAAACCCAGCCCAGGTCACCATCTCCAAGGAAACTCACCAGGAGAAAAGTGGGAAATTGACTTTACTGAAGTAAATCCACACGGGGCTGAGTACAAATACCTTTTAGTATTAATAGACACCTTCTCTGGATGGACTGAGGCATTCGCTACCAAGAATGAGACTGCTAACACAGTAGTTAAGTTCTTAGTCAATGAAATCATCCCCCAATATGGGCTGCCTGCTGCCATAGGGTCTGATAATGGACCTGCTTTCACCTCATCCATAGCTCAGTGAGTCAGTAAGGCATTGAACATTCAGTGGAAGCTCCATGGTGCCTATCGACCCCAGAGCTCTAGACAGGTAGAAAGCATGAACCGCACCCTAAAAAACATTCTTACAAAATTAATTCTAGAGACCGGTGAAAATTGGGTAAGTCTCTTCCTTTAGCCCTATTTAGAGTAAGGTGCACCCTTTATCAGGCTGGGTTCTCATCTTTTGAAATTATGTATGGGCAGGCACCACGTATCCTGCCTGAGCTAAAAGATGCCCATTTAGCAGAAATATCACAAGCTAATTTATTGCAGTACATACAGTCTCTCCAACAGGTACAAGAGATCTTCTGCCACTTGTTCAAGAAGCCCATCCCAGTCCAGTTCCTCACCAGAAGGGCTCTGCCGTTCGTTCCAGCCCAGTGACCTAGTGTTTGTTAAAAAGTTCCAGAGAGAAGGACTAACTCCTGCTTGGAAGGGACCTCACACTGTCATCCTCATGACGCCAACAGCTCTGAAGGTGGATGGAATTCCTGCTTGGATTCATCAGTCCCACATCAAAAAGGACAACAAAGCCCAAACAGAAACATGGGTCCCCAAGCCTGGGTCAGAGCCCTTAAAACTGCACCTGAGTGGGGTGAAACTGTTAGATTAATTCTTTTTATTTACTTCTTCTGTTTATCCTTGCCTGTAATGTCTTCTGTGCCTTCCTACTCCTTCCTCCTCACCTCTTTCACAACAGGACGTGTTTTCACCAATGCTACTTGGAAGTCTGGTACCTCCAAGGAAGTCATCTTTGCAAATGACTTATGTATACTGTTCCCACAACTGGCTCATACCCACAAAGAGCATAACAACCTGCCAGTCATGGGAGCAGGAAGTGTCGACCTTGCAGCAGGATTTTGACACTCTGGGAGCCAAGCCGGATGTGGAAGCTGCAAAGCTGCTGAAAAAGGACTCCAAAATTTGACTTTTACCTCTGTCCTCGAAATCACCCTGATGCTAGCTGTCGAGATACTTAACAGTTCTTCTGCCCAGATTGGACATGTGTAACTTTAGCCACCTACTCTGTGGGATCAACTAGATCTCCAACTCTTTCAATAAGTCGTGCTTCTCATCCCAAATCATGTTCTAAAAATAACTGTAATCCTCTTAACATAATTGTCCATGAACCTAATTCAGCTCAATGATATTATGGTATGTCATGGGGATTAAGACTTTACATCCCAGGATTCGATGTTGGAACTATGTTCACCATCCAAAAGAAAATTTTGGTTTCCTGAAGCCCACCTAAGCCACTCGGGCCTTTCACTGATCTAGGTGACCCTACGTTCCAAAAATGCCCTGACAAAGTTGATTTAATTGTTCCTCCACCATTCTCAGTTCCTAAGACCCAGCTGCAAAGACAATAACTCCAACCCAGTCGGATGTCTATACTTGGTAGAGTACATAATTTCCTTAACCTCACCCAGACTAAACTAGCCCAGGATTGTTGACTATGTTTAAAAGCAAAACCCCCTTATTCTGTAGGATTAGGAGTAGAGGTGACACTTAAAAGTGGTCCTTTATCCTGTCACACATGACCTCGTGCTTTCACATTAGGAGATGTGTCTGGAAATGCTTCTTGTCTAATTAGTACTGGGCATGACTTATCTATTTCTCCTTTTCAGGATGTTTGTAATTAGTCTCTGCTTACTCCCATGAGGATCTCAGTCTCTTACCAAGCACCTAACAAAACCTGGCTGGCCTGCACCTCAGGTCTCACTCGCCGCATTAATGGAACTGAACCAGGACCTCTCTTGTGTGTTCTGGTTCATGTTCTTCCCCAGGTATACGTGTACAGTGGATCAGAAGGACAACTCCTCATCGCTTCCCTGGAATTATATCCCAGGCTACACCAAGCTGCCCCACTACTGTTTCCTCTATTAGCTGTTCTCAGCATAGCTGGATCAGCAGACATTGGCATGGCTGCCCTGGTTCAGGGAGAAACTGGACTAATGTCCTTGTCTCAACAGGTAGATGCTGATTTAAATAACCTTCAGTCTGCCATAGATATACTACATTCTCAGGTAGAGTCTCTAGCTGAAGTAGTGCTTCAAAACCGCCGAGGTCTAGATCTGCTGTTCCTCTCTCAAGGAGGATTATGTGCAGCTCTAGGAGAAAGCTCTTGTTTTTACACCAATGAATCTGGACTCATAAAAGATAAACTCCAAAAAGTTCAAGAAAATCTAGATAGGTGACAACAAGAATGAGAAAATAACACACCCTGGTATCAAAGCTTGTTCAACTGGAACCCTTGGCTAACTACTTTAATCACTGGGTAAGCTGGACCCATCATCATCATATTATTGAGTTTGATTTTTGGGCCTTGTATATTAAACTGGTTCCTTAATTTTGTAAAGCAATGCATAGACTCTGTCAAACTTATGTTTCTAAGAACTCAATATAACCCCCTTGCTGTAACTGAAGAATCAACGATTTGATTCCCCTAAAACACAAGTGGGGAAATGAAATGCCTAACCTTGTTTTTACTCTAACTCATTACTTTGAATTTTGTCCTGCTTGTCTCTTTAATCACCTATCCTTGCTTCTCATGTAAATAAGACTCTCTGTAGCTGAGAAGGTCGGACCAACTCCAATTGACCCCTTAATTTATAAGACACTAAGGGCTCCTTACCCAACCCCCTTTTGTAAGGAGTTGGCCTGGGTAAACAGATCCTCAGCATTTCAAAAGAGCCCAAGTAACTGACAAGGTACTAACACCAACAATGTATGAAGTTCCCAGGATTTTTCTCAAAGAGATGACAACATAAAACCTGGAGTTCATGTCTGGCATAGACCCTATATCTAATTATAATGAAAGATTTAGAACCTTGCACCTACTACCATTGCTCTTCTTGTAACCATTTGTCTTTTAAGTTGTTTATTTCTCTGTAACCAGTTTGCTTCTTTTGATTCTTGCATGTTTTTACTTCTGTAGAATTATTGCATTTGAGTCCCCCTCCTCTTCCTAAACCTAGGTATAAAAGTTAATCAAGCCCCTTCCTCGGGGCCGAGAGAATTTTGAGCATTAGCCATCTCTTTGGCGCCCAGCTTAATAAAGGACTCTTAATTCATCTCAAAGTGTGGTGTATTTTTTAACTTGCTTGGGTACAACAATTAAGAATCTGCTTGAGTAAAGAAATAAGGCCAACCAGCTCTTGTGAAAGAATCATTAAAAATATACAGAAAAACCTATCATGTATATTATTTTTAAATATCACCAAATTCACATAGAGGTCTTTATAGTGTTCTCTGATGGTAGTTTGTATTTCTGTGGGATCGGTTGTGATATCCCCTTTATCATTTTTTATTGCATCAATTTGATTCTTATCTCTCTTCTTGTTTATTAGTCTTGCTACCAGTCTATCAATTTTGTTGATCTTTTCAAAAAACAAGCCCGTGGATTCATTGATTTTTTGAAGGGATTTTTGTGTCTCTGTCTCCTTCAGTTCTGCTCTGATCTTAGTCATTACTTGCCTTCTGCTAGCTTTGGAATGTGTTTGCTCTTCATTCTCTAGTTCTTTTAATTATGATGCTAGGGTGTCAATTTTAGATCTTTCCTGTTTTCTCTTGTGGGCATTGAGTGCTATAAATTTCCCTCTACACACTACTTTAAATGTGTCCCAGATATTCTGGTGTATTTTTTCTTTGTTCTCATTGGTTTCATAGAACATCTTTATTTTGGCCTTCATTTCATTATGTACCCAGCAGTCATTCAGGAGCAGGCTGATCAGTTTCCATATAGTTGAGCAGTTTTGAGTGAATTTCTTAATCCTGAGTTCTAGTTTTATTTCTCTGTGGTCTGAGAAAGAGTTTGTTATAATTTCTGTTCTTTTACATTGCTGAAGAGTGCTTTACTTCCAACTATGTGGTCAATTTTGGAATAGGTGTGGTGTGGTGCCGAGAAGAATGTATATTCTGTTCATTTGGGGTGGAGAGTTCTGTAGATGTCTATTAGGTCCGTTTGGGGCAGAGCTGAGTTCAATTCCTGGATATCCTTTTTAACTTTATGTCTCGTTGATCTGTCTAACGTTGACAGTGGGGTGTTAAAATCTCCCATTATTATTATGTGGGAGTCTAAGTCTCTTAGTAGGTCTCTAGGGACTTGCTTCATGAATCTGGGTGGTCCTGTATTGGGTGCATATATATTTAGAATAGTTAGCTCTTCTTGTTGAATTGATTCCTTTACCATTATGTAATGACCTTCTTTGTCTCTTTTGATCTTTGTTGGTTTAGAGTCTGTTTTATCAGAGACTAGGATTGCAACCCTGCCATTTTTGTTTTCCATTTGTTTGGTAGATATTCCTTCATCTCTTTATTTTGAGCCCATGTGTGTCTCTGCACATGAGATGGGTCTCCTGAATACAGCACATTGATGGGTCTTGACTCTTTATCCAATTTGCCAGTCTGTGTCTTTTAGTTGGAGCATTTAGCCCATTTACATTTAAGGATAATATTGTTATGTGTGAATATGATCCTTTCATTATGACATTAGCTGGTTATTTTGTTCATTAGTTGATGCAGTTTCTTCCCAGCATCAATGGTCTTTACAATTTGGCATGTTTTTGCAGTGGCTGGTACCAGTTGTTCCTTTCCATGATTAGTACTTCCTTAAGGAGATCCTGTAGGTAGGCCTGGTGGTAACAAAATCTCTCAGCATTTGCTTCTCTTTAAAGGATTTTATTTCTCTTTCACTTGCGAAGCTTAGTTTGGCTGGATATGAAATTCTGGTTTGATGCAAGTAAACTAGAAAATCTGGAAGAAATCGATAAATTCCTGGACACATACACCCTCTCAAGACTAAAACAGGAAGAAGTTGAATCCCTGAATAGACCACCAACAGGGTCTGAAATTGAGGCAATAATTAATTGCCTAACAACCTAAAAAAGTCCAGGACCAGATGGATTCACAGCCAAATTCTATGCGACATACAAGGAGGAGCTAGTACCATTCTTTCTGAAACTATTACCATCAATGGAAAAGGAAAGAATCCTCCCTAACTCAGTTTATGAGGCCAGCGTCATCCTGATACCAAAGCCAGGCAGAGACACAACAAAGAAAGAATTTTAGACCAATATCCCTGATGAAAATTGATGCGAAAATCCTCAATTAAGTACAGGCAAGCTGAATCCAGCAGCACATCAAAAAGCTTATCCATGATGATCAAGTGGGCTTCATCCCTGGGATGCAAGGCTGCTTCAACATATGCAAATAAATAAACATAATACAACATATAAACAGAACCAAAGACAAAAACCACAATGTCTCAATAGATGCAGAAAAGACCTTTGACAAAATTCAACAGCCCTTCATGCTAAAATCTCTCAATTAATTAGATATTGATGGGATGTATCTCAAAATAATAAGAGCTATTTATAACAAACACACAGCCAATATCATACTGAATGAGCAAAAACTGGAAGCATTCCCTTTGAAAACTGGCACACGACAGGGATGCCCTATCTCCCCACTCCTATTCAACGTAGTGTTGGAAGTTCTGGCCAGGGCAATAAGGCAGGAGAAAGAAATAAAGGGTATTCAATTAGAAAAAGAAGAAGTCAAATTTTCCCTGTTTGCAGATGACATGATTGAATATTTAGAAAAACCCTTTGTCTCAGCCCAAAATCTCTTTAAGCTGATAAGCAACTTGAGCAACATCTCAGGATACAAAGTCAATATGCAAAAATCACAAGCATTCTTATACATCAAGAACAGACAAACAGAGAGCCAAATCATGAGTGAAATCCCAGTCACGATTGCTTCAAAGAGAAGAAAATACCTAGGAATCCAACTTACAAAGGATATGGAGGACCTCTTTAAGGAGAACTACAAACCACTGCCCAATGAAATAGAAGAGGACACAAAAAGTGGTCGAACGTTCCATGCTCATGGATAGGAAGAATCAATATCATGAAAATGTCCATACTGCCCAAGGTAATTTATAGATTCAATTCCATCCCCATCAACCTACTAAGGACTTTCTTCACAGAATTGGAAAAAACTACTTTAAAGTTCATATGGTACCAAAAAGGAGCCCATATTGCCAAGATAATCCTAAGCAAAAGGAACAAAGCTGGAGGCATCACGCTACCTGACATCAAACTATACTACAAGGCTACAGTAACCAAAACAGCTTGGTACCAGTACCAAAACAGAGATATAGACCAATGGAACAGAACAGAGCCCTCAGAAATAATACCACACATCTACAACCATCTGATCTTAGACAAACCTGACATAAACAAGAAATGGGGAAAAGATTCCCCATTTAATAAATGTGCTGAGAAAACTGGCTAGCCATATGTAGAAAGCTGAAACTGTGTCCCTTCCTTACATCTTGTAAAAAACTAGTTCAAGATGTATTAAGGACTTAAATGTTAGACCTAAAACCATGAAAACCCTGGAGGAAAACCTAGGCAATAACATTCACGACATAGGCATGGGAAAGGACTTCATGTCTAAAACACCAAAAGCAATGGCAACAAAAGCCAAAATTGACAAATGGGATCTCATTAAACTAAAGTGCTTCTGCACAGCAAAAGAAACTACCATCAGAGTGAACAGGCAGCATAAAGAATGGAAGAAAAATTTTGCATTCTACTCATCTGACAAAGGGCAATATCCAGAATCTACAAAGAACACAAACAAATTTATAAGAAAAAAAAAGAACCCCATAAAAAAGTGGGTGAAGGATATGAACAGACACTTCTCAAAAGAAGACATTTATGCAGCCAACAGACACATGAAAAAATGCTCATCATCATTGGCCATCAGAGAAATGCAAATCAAAACCACAATGAGATACCATCTCACACCAGTTAGAATGGTTATTATTGAAAAGTCAGGAAACAACATGTGCTGGAGAGGATGTGGAAAAATAGGAACAGTTTTACACCGTTGGTGAGACTAGAAACTGGTTCAACCATTGTGGAAGACAGTGTGGTGATTCCTCAAGGATCTAGAACTAGGAATACCATTTGACCCAGCCATCCCATTACTGGGTATATACACAAAGGATTATAAATCATGCTGCTACAAAGACATATGCACACTTAACGTTTATTGTGACACTATTCACAATAGCAAAGACTTGGAACCAATCAAAATGTCCATCAATGATAGTCTGGATTAAGAAAATGTGTCACATATACACCATGGAATACTATTCAGCCTAAAAAATGATGAGTGTGTGTCTTTTGTAGGGACGTGGATGAAGCTGGAAACCATCATTCTCAGCAAACTATTGCAAGGACAAAAAACCAAACACCAGATATTCTCACTCATAGGTGGGAATTGAAAAAATGAGAACAT